>NC_000013.11:79477990-79630831 GCF_000001405.40 Homo sapiens | reverse complement strand
ATGCAAAAGGCATTGAACAGAAGTCAGAAGCATTGGTTTTTCATGCTGCCTCCTCCTCTGCCCAGTAGCCACTTGATGTAACTCACAACCATCCAAGGCTTAGTTTCTGTATCTACAGAATAGGAATTCTAGCCCTGTCCTGTTCGCTCTCCATGATTATTGTCACTCTGAAATGGACAATGAGGCTGTCAAAAAAAGAGAAGAACCAGCACTGAGTACCCACTGTGTGTCCGGTACTTGAAATACATGATCGCACCTACACCTCTCAAAAACCCTAAGAGGGAAGTATTATTTTTGAGCAACTTACATAGAAAGAAATTGAGACTCAGAAAGTTTAAGTAACTTGTTCTGGATTACTTGCTAAATGGTAGAGCTGGATATGAATCTAGATTGAGATAGTGAAGCTCAGTTATCAAAACTAAAACGTCACTTCTACCTAATCAGCAGGAATGACGTACTGCTGAGTTGAGAAACGCCAACCTAGAGGGATCGCCTACTGAAAATCAGAAATGGACTTATACTTCAGGAAAGGTTAAACCTGCTGGTAGGACTCAAACTGGCTTTAAAGGAGAAAGGACAGAAAAAAGATCAAGCCCATAGCGTCCATCAAGTTCACCTCACATTACTTCATGATAGTTCACACTTGCCCTCATCACATTCCAGCTACCTATTATGCTCTTTTCTACCTGCAACCTCTCTCCTGGGTCACTGAGATTTGGGCATCCTGGTACACTTGCAAATGGATTCTTTTCTTCAGGTAGCCAGCTGCTAGTTTTCACTTAAAGTTCACTTTGAAGATAGGACCCAAGCTCTTAGTTTTAGCTAGTTCCTCCAGAGTTCAATCTGCATTCCTATGGGCTCATGTTTCAGTAGCCCTTTCATTGATACAAAACCCAAATTCATAACCTTATTATTTTTGATGCAGAATATTGCCGTCACTGAAAAAAAAATGTCTAAGGTGCACCATCACCTCTCCCTGGCAGATGAGAACTTCCATATTGACTTCTCCCTGGGATTGGACCTAAACTTGTTCCTTTATCCATGAATTTATGGGAAACAACTGTGCCTCACACAATTCCATCCCAGTTTTCACTCTCTTCCCTCCATACCCTCAACGCCAATAATATATCACCTTGCTCCATCCCTAGAGTTTGGCAGAAGTTGCCATCTTGTTTCATGGCTAGAACTGTTTATGATACACAAGTGATACTTTATCCTGATTAACTGTTCCCAAATATGAACTCTGGAAAGTTGCTTTACTTCACAATAAACTTTTCAGAATAAGTTTTTTCTTATGGTCCTACAAACCATTAAAAAGCACTGGACTTTGGTTTATGGAAATTATTCATAATCCGCTCCAGTTATCAAAATAACAAAATAAAGATCACTGATCTTTCAGTATACCTATGTCCAAATACTGAGAAAATAATGCATCAGCTAAAGTGGACAAAGGAGATGATTAACAGTGTGCTGAAAGAACATCACACCAACATCAAGTGTGTCGATCACACTCACCCTCTGTGTAATAGGAAAAGAGTCATGATTAGTACAGAGGACTACATTTATTTCTCTGCTATAATCTGAACTTCATCAAAATATCTGTTGGTCATGTTTATGTCTGTCTACCACAAAATAAGAGTTAAAGAAAGCATTATCTATCTTTATTTTAACGCTTAATACAAAATGCAAATAGTCCTAAAATATCTACCAAAGCTTAAAGATCAAACTGATCATAGCAATTTCCATATTAGCTCAGAATATGTCAAAGCAGAGAGCTACAGAATAAATGCCAAGTTATATTCTAAAAAGTGAGAGGGCAAGAGAAACTCTAAATAGGTTCACTTTGAAGACTGCATAAAAAGCAGATGTCATCAGTAAAGATTATTCCTGAATTTTGTTTAACATGGAGCAAAAATTTTTTTTAATGTTTTCATCCTAATTATATTTTTTCAAAGAGGACACTGACACATTGTTGCTGCTCAGAAAATTAGTGAATGTGGAAATACAAACTCTAATAAAAATATTTTGGCTTCTTTTCAGTCCCTAACACATACTCTAGAGTTCACTTTATGGTTATCAGGAGAAATCTAAGGAAAATAAAGCTCAACAGAACTGCAGAGCATCAACTGGCTTAACCTTGTCAAGTAGGGATGAAGCCGGAAGTGCCATGTGACACTGACTGACAGAAACCAAAACCGATGAGGAAAATACACTGAAGAAAAGATGGCAAAAAGTTAATGAGGTGTGTCCTCTACCATGGCCAAGATCACAGAAAACTGATAGAAGCGTTCTATGTTTCAGCAAACTAGTAAGTTCTAGCAGCCTTTTTTAACCTTCCCACAATCCTGTTTACATAATCGTGTTCCTGGCAATGAGAATCACATGGACAGACATTTCTAATTGGAAAAGTCACATTCCTGATATCCCAATACTAAGGTTATTACAGTTTATAAGTTGTACAGTGGCATATATAAGGTCATAAAGTGGAGGAGAAAAAAAGATTTGTAGACTACAGTGCATTTTTTTTCTCTTCTTTTTTTTATTTTATTTTTTTGAGACGGAGTCTCTCTCTGTCGCCCAGGCTGGAGTGCAGTGGCGTGATCTCGGCTTACTGCAAGCTCCATCTCCCAGGTTCACACCATTCTCCTGTCTCAGCCTCCCGAGTAGCTGGGACTACAGGTGCCCGCCACCACGCCCAGCTAATTTTTTATTTATTTATTTATTTATTTATTTATTTAATTTATTTATTTGTATTTTTAGTAGAGACAGGGTTTCACCGTGTTAGCCAGGATGGTCTGATCTCCTGACCTCGTGATCTGCCTACCTTGGCCTCCCAAAGCACTTTTTTCTCTTTAAGAGACAGGGTCTTGCTGTGTTGCCCAGGCTGCTGGAGTGCAGAGGCAAGATCATAGCTCACTGCAACCTTGAACGCCTAGGCTCATGCAGTTCTCCTGCCTCAGCTTCCTTGATAGCTAAGACTACAGGCACACACCAACACACCCAGCTATATATATATTTTTTAATAGAGATGGAGTCTCACTATGTCACCTAGGCTGTCCCAAACTCCTGGCTTCAAGCTATCCTCCCACCTCAGCCTCCCAAAGCACTGGGATTACAGGCATGAGCCACAGCACCTAGCCCAATTATTGTTAGCCTTTTTGGGTTTTAAGCTAGAGTCATTTTTTAAATTGTGGTAAAATATGCATAACATAAAATTTACCATCTTAACCATTTTTAAGTATACAGTTTAGTAGTGTTAAGTACATTCCATTGTTGTACAATCAATCTCCAGAACTCTTATCTTGCAAAACTAAACGCTGTACCCATTAAACAACTCCCCATTTCCCCACTCCCCAACCCCCTAGTAACCACCGTTCTATCTTCTGCTTCTATGAGTGTGGCTACGCTAGGTTCCTCATTTACGTAGAATTATACAGTAATTGTCTTTTTACAACTGGCTTATTTTACTTAGCAAAATGTCCTCAAGTTTCATCCATGTTGTAGCATGTGTCAGAATTTCCTTCCCATTTAAGGCTGAATAATATTCTGTTACATGTATATACCGCATTTTATTTATCCATTTATTTATTAATCAGCGGACATTGGGGTTGCTTCTACTTTTTGGCTATTGTGAATAACGCTGCAATGGACTAGTGTTTCTGTTTTAATCCCATGCTTAACTGTGTCTCACACCCACATTCATTAAAACAAACCTGCAACCTCAAGTGGCTCACATTCCGCTGAATGGGAAGATTGAGTAACATGGAACGATTAACCACAAAAATGTGATATGCACTTCTATTAAAATATTAAATTATATTTTAAAAGATTCCCCATACGTTATACTTCATGCCTAGAAACTTTTCTTGTTTTCTGCTTTTTTGTTGTTGATATTTGTTTAATGATATGCAACTTCAGTTATATCATTCAAACATTTTGTTAAAACAACTAACACTCAATACCTGTTGGTTGGTCTTGTCAGGATATAAGCCTGTGATACTGAGGAAAGATAACTAACAGTTTCTCTGAAAGAAAAGAAACTTATTACAACAGTTAGCATTATATCCTGAAGTTCACCGAGAATAAAAGGTAGATTTAAAATTATCATTTTAAATACAAGGATACACAAGAAAAGAAGAGAAATACATGATTGGAAAGTTCTAGACATGTAAAGACTAAATGTAACAGTATCAGAACATGGATAAGCATTTTTTTAAAGGCAAATTCTTGCAAAAACAAGTGCAGCAGTTCCTCAAATAATATTGTTTTATTCAATGTCATTTTTTTATAAAGTTAATGAGAGGAAAAAATTGCCTAGAGTAAAACTGGTTTCATTAAATGTTGTTTTACTTGAAGTTTGCAGTTTCTAAGAATATATTGATGATGTTGCGTGAGGACTTACTATATTCATACCACATTAACTCTTGAGCAGGATTGTTGGAATAAACACTGTTATTACTGTTTCCTGTGTGAGAACCATGAAAATATCTGTCAGAAGCAGTCAGTGAGGGAACTGCTACAAGATTCAGGATAGTTGCCCCTGACTACAACATTCAAGTTAGCTTTAAAATTACTTCAATTTTAATCAATCTCATTGTACTTTTGTGGGACATGAAATGAACGTAAAACAAATAAAAGTACTGTTAAAATAACTACTATTAAGATATGAATCAAATGATTAAACTTGAGGTTAAGAAACTATTTTCTCACTGAAGTAGAAACACAGTATTGGTATATTGAAGAGCAAAAATCTGACTGTCACCTTCATTCATTCAAGGGTATGTAGACTTCACAATTTTCAGTTCAGTTTAAGTGTCTCATCAATGGTGACAAATGAACTGACTGTGCAAATCTGAAATCTCAAAAGCCCCCTAAAGGGAAGGGAAACTCATATTTAATAATAACTTTCTTTTACTAGGCAACATAGTAGTTGCCTTTAAATTTTTTCTTATTTAAACCTTTTAACAATTCTTTAAGAAAGGCAAGATTAGCTCCATTTTGCAGGTGAAAAAATTGGAGATCTGGTAAATTATTAAATTGGCCCAAGGTCATAGAGCTAGGCAATTATTAAGCCCCAATAAGTACTTAGCTCTGTTTGAATCTCTAACCCACAGCCTCCTGAACAGTGAACTTAAATTTTAGAAACTCCTCCCCCTATATTACTGCACTAGATGACTTCATTTCAAATGTCTTACTTTTAGCCACACCTTTTTCCAAACACTTCACAAAGTCAAACCAACGGAACCATAAGAATCTAATAAATAATTGTGTGATAAATAAAAGACATGAGATTAAACTGCATGTACAATATTTTCTGAGCAGCTTCATGATTCTAAGTTACTATTTGAGAATGTTGTTTGAGGTTTTCTTTTGCATGTATGTACCACTTGTCATATAGCAAAATCACAAAATAATGTTGTATGAAAGGATATAGCAATCATCTCATTTTGTTATTATCTTCTACATTTAATGACTAAGAATTTATTAAATGAGTAATTGAATGAATATACCAATATGAATAAATTTTATAAACAAAGTGGTAAAATGGCATACCATCTTCTATGGAAGGTTCACAGCAACTCCTCCACGAAACAGAAGACATTCTGTGATTCACAAAATCTTTTTAAAGCACAGAAAATCTGAAAAACGGCCAAGCAAAATCAGACCCGCTATATCCTTTATTGAAAGTTCAGTAACTTAGCAGGTTCCTGCCCATTGAAAGCTAAGCATGTCTTCCTCTTGCCTAAATCTTAATGATGGTGAATCTGTTACTTTAACACGCAATGATAGTTCAGGCTACATAGATGGCCTCCATATTACTTAGTTGTCCCCAGCTTATTTCCCCAATCAATCTGTAGGTACTCATGCTACTAACACCTGTACTTCTTAAGTTAACGTGAGTCCCTGAAAATTACTTGTAAGCCCTCCTAACACTATGTAGAGAAGAACTGTCTTCAAATGAGGGTTGAAGGCTGGGGTATCAGAATGTCCCGTGAGAAATTTCAAAGCTATACAACTTTGCCCTGCCCCCATTCTTTTACCCCTTTCATGTTTTGATATGTACTATGGGATACCTGCCAAAATCCTGGGGAAGACACACAATGTATTAACTTAGAAAAAGTAGATCCCAGCCTGGGAAAAGGGGGATATGTCAAATCTGGGGCAAGGGGTCAATGTGAATAACTTGACGAAGCTCCAAAGTTATTCTGATACATATAACTTCTTGAGACCTACATCAGTGGGTCCCTGGCCAGTAAAATATGAAAAAAATTCCTAAAAGAAAAACATTCAAAATTAAATAGTTCAGAATTTAAGACAGTTCCTTAAATGTAAGAAATATAACTGGATAAACAACTGACTTGTTTGCCATGAATGAAAAAGAACTTGCTCAGTTACATCACACCCATAGGATCCACTTCGCCCACACCCTCTGTCCTGTGTAATTAGCATCTCACTAGTTACAAGCCAAGCCCCCTTCCTTCCTGCCCCATGATGTTCACCATGCCTAAGGGACAGGAATTGTTATGTCCATTTCAGGGACAAGGAAATTCATGCTCTAGTTGGGTAAATGTGTTGCCCAAGGCAACATGATCAGGAACTGGCAGAATCCAAAGTAGAACCAAGCACTTTTGTGTGGAGCACGGAACTGTTAAGTGCTGAGAAATTTTGTAACAATTTACGACGCAAAATTTTCCCTGTTAAATATAAAAATAAATAAATCAAGAATTTGTAGTTTGTACATCTTAGAGGTTTTTAATTTCATTTTTCTCATAATTGTATTCTAAAAAGTATTGGTCCACAAGAATTTGAAAATAAAAAAAAAGGAATGAATGCTTCACGACGGTGTTATTGAACAGAACTGGGGCCCGTGTACCTGGTGCAGCAAAGCCAAACACTGACATCAGGAAAGCCGTGAAATAAAGTGAGGCATTTATTGCAAGATGCCAATCAAGGAGAATTGGGCATCTCACACTTAAAACTCAAACTCCCTGATAGCATACAGGTAAGAATTTTTAAAAGCAGAGAGGCAGAGGTTACAGGCAAAGTCATAAGTCAATACATGGAAGCTAAACATTAATTTGACCTAAAAAGACAGGACATCTAGAAGTGGGGACCCCCAGATCATAAGTAGACTTCAAAGACTTTCTGATTCATCATTGGTTAAGGACGCAAAGCTTTGTCTAAAAACTTGGGATCAGCAGAAAAGAATGTTAGCTCTGGCTTGTAGGCATGACCTCCTCCAGGTCCCTCAGGAAGAAATTAAGAACAAAAAGCAAAGGTCAGAGTTCAGTCCTTAGTTTCCCCTTATCTGAGGTCTACGTGCCAGTGGATCTATTTGGTGTGGGTCTGGATTCTGAAAAACAACTCAGTGACATGATTAACATGTTAGCTTTAGTTTCTATAGGGAACAAAACATCTCCTGACTCTAACCTCCTTGGTGATTGTTTTAAGTTACTATTACCTTCTTACTTATGAGGTTGCTTGTTTACTTTTCAAGGCTAGCTAGATGCCTGGAATTTCCCTCAAGGGAGCTCAAGATTTTCCTTTATTACCCTGTTTTGGGGGGCCAACAAGCCCCTAAGAGGGGTCCCTGCTCTGTCTCAACAGGGACATTCCTCCCAAAAGTAAATCAACACTTAAGCTACAAGGGTATGGGTGAAAATAAGTATATATTAGGAATTCCATATACTATTTCAAAATACTTTATAAGTAATTAAGGAATGCAAATATTTATCAAATATAAGCATTTTCTGACCAGCTTACAAAAGCAGCATAAAACGCACAAAGAGTACAAACACTTTAAAATAGCAGAAGAGTCAAAGACAGAATCCTAAAACCAAGGTTATTCAAACCAAGGTTCTTCAAATCAAGGGCACAGTATGTGTTTGACATTCATAGCTTCTTCATCACGGAACATAAGAGTAAACCACAACCCTGCCCAGCCCCTGCCCAGCCCCTGCCCAGCCCCTGCCCCTGCACTGACCACTCCAGGTGTCCTCTGGTGTTCAGCTACCCTCTTTGGTCACTGAACCTCTTTCCTGGAGGGGATGTCCAGGGCCTTTCCTGTCACCTTGGGTCACTTGCAGGCCGGGAATAAATGGCAAAAGGAGTGTCCCTGGTGCCCAGCTGAATGATGATGTAATCTGTGTAGTACAATCCCATAGCATTTTTCATAGCTAATATCTGAATTCAAGTTCAATACAATTTACAGCATAACAACAAGAATATTTTTGAGGTAATGAAACTATGTACTGCAGTTTTTGTCTATTGTAAAATGGTCCTTTAACACCACAAAGTTGATAATAGACCTGCTGTGAACTTTCTTGTAAACATGAATTGTTTCATACTCCAGCTTTTCATTGTCTTAATTTTCATGTAATTATACTCCTTTGTTCTACCCCAAGTAGCACTTTACCTTCCTTGATATTTAGACATCCAAATAATTGCACATGGTTATCAAGGTCTATCTTTGCTTTCTCTAAGCCAAGGTGAACCTATTTAATTCCTTTAACCTGTCCTCCTAAGTCAGTGCCTTCAACCCCTCAATCATCTTCCTGACTTCTTGTTTGAACTTTTTCCAAGAAAATGTCTACATCTTTCCTGGTCTCAGGCTCCCAGAACAAATGTGGTTTTCAGGTGCCATTTCATCAGAATCACTTCCCTACCCTGGGGTAAATCTCTTGAATTCTTCACATCCCTTTGGTCTTTTTCTCCCTTTCGATATCCAGGGTGGGTCCAAGGTGTTTCACTGCCCACGGCAGAATGAAACTTCTTTTATGCCATGTAATTGGATTCATTTCAGAAGGGCTCACACTCTCTGTCCTCCACCCTCTCCTCCCCCTTCTTCTGCTTCTGAATTATAGGTAAACTGCTGAGTTATCTGGCTGCAAGAGACTACAAATAAATCCCAGGTCTTGTAGTATTAGAAAAGGTCACAGGCCCTGGGAGGCAGAATTGTGGAATCTGGCAATTCATTTAATTCCTAAGAGCCTCAGTGTCCTCATCTTTAAAAGTAGGCAATAATAACTGTTAAAATAATTAATTGGGAGGTCATCAGACTGAGGTGGCTCCTGCACCCTGGGTTCCCATGTAATCAAATTGAAACCCGACTCAGTATAAACAGTAAAACAAAATTTAAGCTTAACCAAGCAGAAACTGTCAACTAACCTCTAACTAGGGACTTTCCACTGAAATGATCCAAATAAGGCTACTGCTCCACTATGACCAATCAAATACTGTTTGCTTTGCTTCCATGTTCACCCTATAAAAGCCTTCCCCTCATTCCCCTTGGGCAGAGCCTCCAGCCACATGTGGTCTGTTTGGAGCTGCCCAATTCATAAATCAGTCTGCTCAAATAAACTCCATAAATTTTAATGTGCCTAAGTTTATATTTTAATATAACAAAAAAGTATATAAAAATAAGAAGTATACAAAATTATGTGAATAAAGTAAGGTTTGGGGGATTGTTTTGTTATAATCAGAGTTTGTCAGAAAAAAAACAAGGCAACAAAATGACTTAGCAAAAAATTAATATTACATATAGAAGAAATGCCACCAGTAATGCAGACATCTTGCTTTCTCCAAAAACCCTACAAATTATGAATGATCTCTTCTTTACACATGTACCAAGTAAGTTTTAGTCCTATCAGAGAAGAAAAATTAGCACTCTTTAGAGTCTGTGCATGGTATCTTCACTTACTCCTAAGAAGCAGGCTTTGTGTGCCTGTGAAACTTCTTGTTTTCAAAAATCACATTATAAAAGCTACTCTTTCAGCCAGAGTCTAAAAAGAAGGAACTCATAATGTACAGAATATCAAACTCATTGAAAAAGTTATTATTTTTCTGTAGGAAACTTTTAAATAAAGTGTTTGCTATAGCTAGCTTTTAAAAAGCCAGACCAATTTACTGAACATACTCAATGTTGAGAACTCCCCACCTTTTGTTCAAAAGAAAAGGCAATTTCTTCTCTACATCTTTTCTGCACATTCTTTATCCCTTTAACAATCTTATTGTTAGGATAATCAGCCTACTTGTGATTCCTGTACCTCCTTCCACAGGATGAAGACTAAACTCACTAGAAAGGGAAGACCTGCCCCACCTCTCCATGCCCACTGAATGCTTGAAGGTCCCAAATGCTAGCCCAGATCCTGCTCGAGAATTTACTCCCCAGTTGTTGTGTGCATTGGTGGCCAACCATTCTCAGCCGCATCCATCTCCAGGCATTGTCCTGCATTAAAGACAGCTCCCTCACCCACTCCTTGCTTCTAATGACTGGTCAATCAAAGGCATTACAGGCCTCAGGGTTGATTGAGGGCTTTGTTGCAAGTGCATTGTAGTTCAACTTCTGGGTACAATCCTGCTTCCTAGTCACCCTAGATGTTGAACTCATGCACTTTTTGATAAAGTTATTTCACCCAAATCTGTCTCAGATGTTGGTCCAAGGAAGCAGACTCTGAAGTGGGATGTTGTATCAGCTGTATCAATAGCTGGCCAGCTCACAGGACCCCTTCATTAGTAGTAGGGGGAGCACAGAGAGCCCCTGGCATAAGTAACAGTTCAATTGTCAAAATTTTCCTCAGTGGAGAGCTAGACCTGTGTACCAGTGGAAGGGAATGCATGGCCTGATGCAGCATAGCAGGGATTTGTAGTTCATGTTGGTAGGATCAACTGATGTTTTGGGGAAAGACAGTAAATAGCTGAGAGTGAGTAATCATTAATTAAAGTATAATTATTCAAGCAGGGTAGAGGGGGCCCTTCCTAGGTAGTATATAAAGAGATTCTCATTTTTTACAACCAGATGCCGTATCAGTTCGTTCTCACACTGCTATAAAGAACTACCTGCAACTGGGTAATTTATAAAGAAAAGAGGTTTAATTGGCTTGTGGTTCCACAGGCTATACAGGAAGCATGGCTGGGAAGGCCTCAGGAAACTTACAATCATGGCACAAGGCAAAAAGGAAGGAGGCACATCTAAATGGCTGGAGCAGGAGGAAGAGAGCAAAGAGGGGTATGGGGTGTGCTACACACTTTCAAACCACCAGATCTCGTGAGAACTCTATCATAAGACAGAACCAGGGGAATGGTGCTAAACCATCAGAAACCATCCCCATGTTCCAATCACCTCCCACCAGGTCCCACCTGCAACACTGGGGATTACAATTCAACGTGAGATTTGGGTGGGGACACAGAGCCAAATCATATCATTGGGTAAGAAAAACTTGGGAGGGTTAGACTCACGACTTAATTTAAGACTAGCAGAGCTCCAGGGGAAGTTGTACTCTCAACTTTGACTCATTTGCTACACCAAGATCAGAGCCCTGACTGGGAAGTAGCGGGAAGTTAAAACATGGGATATCTGCATTGATACATTCAAAAATCTTATATCCTCAATTTTTCCTGAGCCCTTTGAGCCTGCAGAAGTGGCCCACTCCTCCCAGTTAAAGTCTAGTGACCCTCTCGTTTCTTAAAAAGTATTAAGAGACTTCTGCCTTATAATATTAAACACACACACACACACATGAATACACAGGGCACTCTTGATCTACTCCCACCTCCTGGCCACCAGACCAATAACCAAGTCAAACTATAATCCCACTGAAGTAGTATTGGGTCTGCTAAGAAAACAAAGGGATTATACCTTAATATTGCCACAAGACCCCAAGAGGTCCCACAGAAACCAGAACAGTACACAAAGGACTGGAGCCTAAGAGTACTAGATCACCAGGAGCAGAACGTAAACTGGACAGGGAAGAGTTTATGTCACAGCAGCACTCCTGTGACATAGAACTTACCACGTTGGCAAGGATCCAGGGAGACAATCCAAACGCATTGGTAGGGTGGCTCCGGGAAGCTTGGAGAAAAAGATAGCCCTCACTAAATGAAATAGAAATGCCAGAGTTATCAAGGCAGGTGGTGAGGAAGGAATTAAAAGACTCAAGAAGTGGGCACATCAGAGTGGAATAAATAAATCACAGAAAAAATAAATGAACAAGTATCTTACTTTTCCTTTGTAAGGTACATTCATACATTGTTGCCAAAATTATCTTTTGAAACTCATTTCTGATCATGTCACTCCTCTTATCGCATACTGAATAACATTCAATGCAATTGTTTTAGATTATTTTTATTATATGTGCCTGCCACATTACATAGGTGCTCAGTAAATAGTTGTTGAATAAATCAATGGATCTCGTAAGCCCTCAAGACTCAGCTCTTCCTGTTACCTTCTCTTTCAATATCTATCTCTCTGTCTATTTATTTATTTATTTGTTTGTTTTAGAGACAGGGTATCTATCACTCTGTGGCCCAGGCTGGAGTACAGTGGCATGATCATAGCTCACTGCAGCCTGAAATTCCTGGGCTCAAGCGATCCTCCTGCCTTAGCTTCCCAAGTAGCCAGGACTACAGGCAGGTGCCACCATGCATGGCTAATATTTTTGTAAAGACAGGCCCTCACTATGTTGCCCTGGCTGGTCTCAAACCCCTGGCTTCAAAAGATCCTCCTGCCTCAGCCTCCCAAAGTTCTGTGATTACAGACATGAGCCACTGTCCCTGGCCCAAATACCTCTCATTTAAAAGGACAGACCAAATGACTTTCTCACCATTCCCCAATATGACAGCCATTCACAGCCTTTGCCTTTGTATAAGCTGATTCTCTGCCTCAAATGCTATTTTATCATTCTTTTATTCATGCAGCCAACAAACGTGTATTGAATGCTACACACACACATACACACACACACACACACACACACACCCCCTGGAAACTCCCATCCACTCTTCATGTCACCATCTCTGAGAAGGGATTCTAGGCTTCCCCAAGCAAAATATGTCCTCTGGGCTGTGGCATTTTGGGCCTGCCCCCCCGCCCCAGAACTTTCCCCTTTGCCATTTGTCACCGTTCATATTTTTCTCCCCCACTTTACTGAGTGCACACACAGTAGAAAGACCACTATCTAGCTCAGACCCCAACAAACAGGAACATGTGTCAGAGATACCTGTTTTGTCTACCTAGATGGACTTTCAACATTCTTCTTGTAACAACACTCCTACTTCTTTTGGTGAACTACCACCATCTCCTCACCTTCCCCCTATACTCTATGTGTCTCTAACTGCTAATTACAATAAT
The DNA here is from genome assembly GCF_000001405.40 of Homo sapiens. NCBI lineage: Eukaryota > Metazoa > Chordata > Mammalia > Primates > Hominidae > Homo > Homo sapiens. Next base: position 79,617,702 of record NC_000013.11, on the reverse strand, counting down.
TTATACCCTTAGGCACAAAGGTGGGTATGTGGCCCAGCCCTGGCTAGCAATGCATCTCCTTGGCCATTATACCTGGGCCAAGGATAGACACATGATCCCAGCCAGACCAATAGGAACACAGTCCTTCTCCGGGATGCTATAAATAGGCTCTATAAAGGGAGGAGATCCCTCTTCCCTTTGGGTCCCTAACTTAAAGCAGCTTATGGCCATGAACTCCTGCTCTCACCACATGAAGGAAGTTCGTCTGAAATAGGGAGAATGTGCCAACCAGCAGAGAGAAACAGAGCAGGATGAACAGAGAGACAGACCTAACAACACTGTTTTAGTCTTTGAAATCCCTGAGGCCAGCTACATCCCTAGTTATTGAGGTAAATCTATCAAAAAGAATTTGTTGAATGAACACAAATTAAAAAAAATTAACTTTCAAAATTGTGTTCGTTGTCAAATCTCAAGTCAGACATATTAAATTACCCCATAAGTTTTTACTGAGCCTCTACTATGTGTAGGGTATTCTGTTAGGTGCAGGTTGGCACCTGCAAGCACCTTATTATTTTCATAATGTAATGCCATTTTATGATGCTATTTGAAATTAGCACTTAACTCCGAAAAAGTAAATAAATTTAAATGTTATTAAATATTTATATTTTAGGGTGATAAACCCAACCTCTTTTATTTTACTTATATTCTTGGTTATGGGGGTAATTTCTTATATCATTTCACATAAAAGCAGATAATACCAAAAAAGTGGCATAGATATTGGATTAGTAATGTAAAAGTCAGCTAACTAGTAAACATATCAAATGAGGCCAGGAATAACAATGCATGCTAAGTATATGTACCTACTAAAAGTTGAGATTGATTTTATTCTTGATAGAGAAGGAATGATCATATAAGAATCTGATTGCTTTTTAAGGCTGTCTCTAATTCTGCCACCTAAACGGACTGACACGTTTTCCCTGAAGGTAGATTAGCAGAGTATAAATGTCAGATTGCAAATTCAAGTGATAGTGTTCCACTTGAAAAACTAGTGCTCCAGTGTTCAAAACTTAACACCCCTAAAGAGGTGAATATATGGCCAATTCTTCGTTTTCAAGCAGTAGGTAACTCATTTGAACATTTCTAGGCATTAACTGATTCACCCTAATTAAACCTTAGGGTCAGGTCTAGGAATACCAACTAGAAAGAGATCCCACAGCATCATCTAATTTTAACAGAAGAATCTCTTTCCAGGCTTTTCAGTTCTCATCAGTTTTTCTAAATGTTGAACTATATATAAGATTAATTTCAACAGAAAAATATAATAGTAGGTAAGGATTCAGAAGATTTTTTTCTCAATAAGTAGTGGCATAATACAATGTGTATCAACCCTATTCGTAATTTCATCTTATCACATCTGAAATTTTAATATATAATATTTTTTTCTACACTATCAAGTTTGCTGGTCATTAATTCATGAATCATATCAGAAGTAATAAATTCAGAAGTAATAAATGCTGTGTTCAAGAAAGATAATATGTGCTATAATTTTAAAAACGGGTAGTATGGAAAAAATAGAAATCAGCATTAAAGAAAAATTTTATTTTGAGTATATTAGAGCAAATATTTGGAGCACATTTGCTAATATTTTTATACTCTTTCTACTCAGTTAACTTTCTCATTCAAAAAAAAAAAAAAACTAACCTCCCCTAGGCTGCAAATTTTTTCTCAAAGCAGTTAGCTCTCAAGAAGCTCAATGTTCCAAACCTTTATATTTGAAAAAAAAAAAAAAGGCAGAGGCAGCAGGGAGGTCAAAGACAAAAAGGAGTTCAATAGTTTGAATCTCTTTTTTTTCCTGTTTAGAAATGACAAGTATTTAAAACTAAAGAGTGACATATGAAAACAAAATTTATGCCATATTGCATGGTATTAAAAAATACTAAGGATATTTATAATTCAATATTGAGTCACCCTAAAATGTTTTATTTAACACCCTCATTTTTCTTGGAAGAAGAAAAACTTGAAAGGGCATACAGTAAAAGAATCTTAACAAGGTTAAGAAATGAGGTTATAAAATAAAAACTAATAATTGAGGAGAAAGCAAATGTGTCAACCATAGGTATAAACATAACTGAGAGTAAAACGTATCCATGATTTTCCTGAGAAGTAGGATGAAAATAGACACACTTACCTATGATGTTCTTTTGAACATAAACATTCAAAGCATAAAGCACATCAATTGCTTGTCTAAATAGTAAATAGTATTAATATCATCTAGGATTTTATATATGTACGTTGTATGCTTCAAGAGTTAATGTTCTTGACAATTTTTCAACAAATATAGAAGTTTTTTTTCCTTTAATGACTCTTCTACATCCCCTGTTTTCTAGAGAACATGTCCTAAGGGTAGAAATTGGTTCCTGATAAAAGTCCAATTCCATCCCAGTTGAGAAAGCTCAGCCCATTTCAAATTCCTAAACAAAAGAAAATTCCCAAGAAGGGCCTTCTTGGCTAAAATGAGGCATCCACCATTTCCTCTCCTGTTTCTGCAGTGATAGCTCCTATCACTACTGAGGACAAAAGTGGCAGCCATGTTACTGCAGCTCTCAGAAGTGGTCATCACCAGTGGTTGACAACACCACCAATAACATTGCTTAGACCCATCAATATGCAAGTCAAGGCTGCCTCATATCATAAGTGCTGATGTCTGTTCCAGGACCACCATCTCCCATTTCTGCAGAACTTCTGTCCCTTGGACTGATAAATGTTGAATCAATGGAGATGTTATTGAAAGTGTTTATTTTTATTTTTATTGAGGCTGTTATTGTATCCCCCTTACCCTAGGACATGTGGCCTAAGCTAGAAGATGAGGTGGTATACACAGGCTTACCAACCCTAACTTTGGCTTCTTTTCTTTCAAACAAATAAAGCACCTTGACTTCTCTTAGGCTAGGCTAGTTCTTTCTCAAGAGGCTTCTGAGCACTCATGTAAGTAGATTCACCCAAAGAACTGCCCCACCCATCTTCCAGACATACTCAGGCATGTCTGAACCTCTGACTTTTCCCTATTTACATCTCCATCTGGATATATTATCTTCAACATGAATATTTCCATATCTACCCCAACTTAATTCTTCCTCTAACCTTATCTCAGCAAATGGCTCATTCATCTATCCAGTTAATCAAGCCAAAATCATAGAAATCAACTGTAATTCTTCTGTTTCCTTTATCCCCTACATCCAATACCCAGTGAGTTATATGAGCACTATGTCCAAACATACTTCTGTGAGGGCCTCCTAGTTAGTCCTTCCACTTCTACTCTTGCCTCTGTGCTGTTAGTTCCCCCACACAGCTGTCAAAGTGATCTTTTAAAATGTGGTCATATCCTTCCCTATACTGTAATGAGAATACAAACTCCTTACCATAGCCCATAAATCTCAATATGATCTGACCCTACCTATCTGTATTATTTATCTATTACTGTATAACAAATTACCCCAAAACATAGTGACTTGAAATGACAACATCTATTATTTCACAGTTTCTGTAAATAAGAAATCCAAAGACAGCTTAACTGGGTCCTCTGTGTCAGGGTGTCATTCAAGCAATTGCATAGGGCTGCAAGTCATCTCAGTGCTCAACTTAGGGAGATCCTGTTCCAAACTCACTCATGCGGTAGTTCATAGGATTCAGTTCATTGTGGGCTGTATGTGTGAGGGCCTCATTATTCACTGGCTATTGGCCAAAGGCCACGTCTAGTTCCTTGGATATAGATCACAGATCTCTCCATAGAGCATCTCAAAACATTGCAGCTTGCTTCACCAGAAGGGGCGAGCCAAAAAGAGAGACAAAAAGCCAATGATACAGTCTGACAGTGTCCCCACCCAAATCTCACCTTGAATGTCAATAATCCCCATATTTCAAGGGCAGGGTCAGGTGGAGATAATTGAATCATGGGGGTGGTTTCTCTCATACTATTCTCATGATAGTAAATAAGTCTCACAAGATGTGATGGATTTATAAATGGAAGTTTCCCTGCATAAGCTCTCTTCCCTGCTGGCATGTAAGATGTGCCTCTGCTTCTCCTCTGCCTTCCACCATGATTGTGAGACCACCCCCAGTCATGTGGAACTGTGAATCCATTAAACCTCGTTCCTTTATAAATAAACCAGTCTCAGGTATGTCTTTGTTAGCAGCATGAGAACAGACTAATACAGTAAAGTAGTATCGAAAGAGTGGGGAGCTGCTGTTCCAAAATTGTGGAAATGACTTTGGAACTGGGTAACAGGTAGAGGTTGGAACAGTTCTAAGTGCTCGGAATAAGACAAAAAAAGTAGGAAAATTTGGAACTTCCTAGAGACTTGTTGAATAGTTTTGACCAAAATATTGACAATGATATGAACAATAAAGTCCAGGTTGAGGTGGTCTCAGATGGAAAAGAGGAACTTATTGGGAACTGGAGTAAAAGTGACCCTTGTTATGCTTTAGCAAAGAGCATAACATTTTAGCAAAATCCTTTAGCATTTTGCCCCTGCCCTAGAAATGTGTGGAACTTTGAACTTGAGAGAGATGAGTTAGGGCATCTGGCAAAAGAAATTTTTAAGCAGCAAAGTGTTCAAGAGATGACTTGGGTGCTATTAAAATCATTCAGTTTTATGTATTCACAAAGATATGGTTTACAATTGGAATTTGTGTTTAAAAATGAAGCAGAGCATAAAAGTTCAAAAATTTGCAAACTGATGATGTGATAGAAAAGAAAAAGCCATTTTCTGAGAAGAAATCCAAGCCAGCTGCAGGAATTTGCATAAATAATGAGGAGCCAAATGTTAATCGCCAAAACAATGGGGAAAATGTATCCAGGGCACATCAGAGACCTTCATGGCAGCCCCTCCCATCACAGGCCCGGAGGCCTAGGAGGAAAAACTGGTTTCATGGGTCAGGCCCAGGGCCCACCACTGTGTACAGCCTAGGGAGTTGGTGCCCTGTGTTCCAGCTGCTCCATCCATGCTAAAAGGGACAAGGTACCACTCAGGCCATGACTTCAGAGGGTACAAGCCCCAAGCCTTGGCAGCTTCCATGTGGTGTTGAGCCTGCAGATATACAGAAATCAAGAATTGAGGTTTTGGAACCTCTGCCTAGATTTCAGAGGATGTATGGAAACTCTTGGATGTACAGGCAGAAGTTTGCTGTGGGGCACGGGGTGGGGGGAGGTGGGCTGGCCTCATGAAGAACCTCTGTTAGGGCTGTATGGAAGGGAAATGTGGGGTTGGTCCTTTCCCCATGGGAGGACATAGCTACAAGGTGCCATTTATGAAGCAGAGACTGAGCCCTCACTAGAAACCAAATATGCTAACCTCTTGATCTTGGACTTCCCAGCCTGCAAAACTAACTTCTAGATGGAGAGATCATGGCAGATGGGAGGCAGGACTAGATTTAAGCTCCCACTCAGGTGCACAGAACAGCACATGGAGGCTTTCAGCATGAACTTTGACTGCAGAGCAACTGCAGGAATACATTAGGAAAGCCAAGAGAACACACAGACCCTCTGAAGGAAGCAGATTGCTCCTGCAGGACCCAGGAGACATCCCAAATGCTTTGAGTGCTCAAACAGTGGAAGTGAAAAAGGGATATTGTCCACTCCTGAACACACACTCTCACTGGGGAACTTGAAGGTGTAGACTACAGGAGAAGATTCTGATGTTACCTGAAGCTGAGTTGATTTAGAGAGCTGAGTGAAATACAGGGGTAGAGGAAGCAGTGGAAAAATCCCTGTGGGCCTTCTGGGTCCTCTAGCAAGCCATTTCTGCCTCACCTCACAGGCGTCCTTAAGGATGGCTTCCAGAGGCACTGGGGAAAGGCCACAGGGAGAAGAAAACCTCCAATTGAACTTTATAACAACTTGAACTGATTGAGAAGTCTTCCCCTGCCTTGCTAGAGAACTAAAACTTCCAAATACAAGAACCTCAAAGAACACCTGGGAAATTCATCACAAAAAGATCATCGCCTAGGCACACTTCCATCTGTTATATAAAGTTAAGACAAAGGAAAGAATCTTAAGAGCTGTGAGGCAAAAACACCAGGTAACCTATAAAGAAAAACCTGTAAGATTAACAGCAGATTTCTCAGCAGAAACCCTACAAGCTAGAAGGGATTGGGGCCCTATCTTCAGCCTCCTCAGACAAAACAATTATCATCCAAGAATTTTGTACCCAGTGAAACTAAACTTCATAAATGAAGGAAAGATGCAGTCTTTTTCAGACAAACAAATATTGAGAGGATGTGCCACTACTAAGCCAGCACCACAAGAACTACTAAAATGACCTCTAAATCTTGAAACAAATCCTGGAAACACATCAAAACAGAACCTCTTTAAAGCATAAATCTCACAGGACCTATAAAACAAAAATACAATTAAAAAAAAGGTATACAGGCAACCAATAGCATGATGAGTGGAATGGTACCTCACACCTCAATACTGATATTGAATGTAAATAGCCTAAATGCTCTACTTAAAAGATACAGAATTGCAGAATGGATAAGAATTCACAAACCAACTATCTGCTGCCTTTAAGAGACATGCCTCACACATAAGGATTCATATAAACTTAAGATAAAGGGATGGAAAAATACATTCCATGCAAAGGGACATCAAAAGCAAGCAGGGGTAGCTATTCTAACATTAGACAAAACAAACTTTAAAACAACAGCAGTTTAAAAAGACAAAGAGGGTCATTATATAATGATAAAAGGCCTTGTCCAATAGGAAAATATCACAATCCTAAATATATATGCACCTAACATTGGAGCTCCCAAATTTATAAAGCAATTACTAATAGACCTAAGAAATGAGATAGACAGCAACAGAATAATAGGAGGGGACTTTAATACTCCACTAATGGCACTAGACAGGTCATCAAGACAAGGTCAACAAAGAAACAATGGATTTAAACTATACCTTGGAACAAATGGAGTTAACAGATATTTACAGAACATTCTACCCAACAACTGCAGAATATACATTCTATTCAACAATGCATGGAACTTTCTCCAAGATAGACCATAGGATAGGCCACAAAATGAGCCTAAAAAATTTCAAGAAAATTGAAATTATATCAAGCACTCTCAGACCACAGTGGAATAAAACTGAAAATCAACTCCAAAAGGAAACTTCAAATCATGCAAATACACAGAAATTAAATAACATGCTCCTGATTGAGCACTGGGTCAAAAATGAAATCAAGATGGAAATTAAAAAACTATTTAAACTCAATGACAATAGTGATACAACCTATAAAAAAACCTCTGGGATACAGCAAAGGTGGTGCTAAGAGTAAAGTTCATAGCCCTAAATGGCTGCATCAAAAAGTCTGAAAGAGCACAGACAATTTAAGGTCACACCTCAAGAAACTAGAGAAACCAAGAGCAAACCAAACCCAAACCCAGCAAAGTAAAGGAAATAACCAAGATCAGAGCAGAACTAAATGAAATTGAAACAAAAAAATACAAAATATAAATGAAGCAAAAGGTGGCTCTTTGAAAAGAGAAATAAAATTGATAGACCATTAGCAATATTAACCAAGAAGAGAGAAAATCCAAATAAGCTCAATTAGAAATGGAATGGGAGATATTACAACTGACACCACAGAAATATAAAATAATATTCAAGACTACTATGAACACCTTTATCTGCATAAACTAGAAAACCTAGAGGAGATGGATAAATTCCTGAAAAGATATAAACTTCCTAGCTTAAATCAGGAAGAATTAGATGCTATGAACAGACCAATAACAAGCAGCAAGAATGAAATGGTAATAAAAAAAATTACCAACAAAAAAAGTCCAGGACCAGATGGATTTACAGCAGAATTCTACCAGACATTCAAAGAAGAATTGGTACCAATCCTATTGACACTATTCCACAAGACAGAGAAAGAGGAAACCCTCCCTAAATCATTCTATGAAGCCAGTATCACCCTAATACTAAAACCAGGAAAGGACATAACCAAAAAAAGGAAAACTACATACCAATATCCCTGATGAACACAGATGCTAAAATCCTTAACAAAATACTAGCTAACCAAATCCAACAACATATCAAAAAGATAATCCACCATGATCAAGTGGGGATGCAGGGATGGTTTAACATATGCAAGTCAATAAATGTGACACACCACATAAACAGAATCAAAACCACAAATCACATGATCATCTCAATAGATGCAGAAAAAACACTCGACAAAATTCCACATCGCTTTATGATTAAAACTCTCAGCAAAATTGGCATACGAGGGACATACTTCAATGTAATAAAAGCGATCTATGACAAACCCACAGCCAACATAATACTGAATAGGGAAAAGTTAAAAGTATCCCTCTGAGAACTAAAACAAGACAAGGATGCCCACTCTCACCACTACTCTTCAATGTAGCACTGGAAGTCCTAGCCAGAGCAATCAGACAAGAGAAAGAAATAAAGGGCATCCAAATCGGTAAAGAGGAAGTCAAACTGTTTGCTGATGATTTATTGTTTACCTAGAAAACCCTAAAGACTACTCCAGAAAGCTCCTAGAACTGATCAAAGAATTCGGCAGTTTCTGGATACAAAAATCAATGTACACAAATCAGTAGCTCTTCTATACACCAACAGTGGCCAAACAGAGAATCAAATCAAGAACTCAACCCCTTTACAACAGCCACAATAAAAATAAAATACTTAGGAATATACTTAACTAAGGAGGTGAAAGACCTCTACAAGGAAAACAACAAAACACCACTGAAAGAAATCATAGATGACACAAGCAAATGGAAACACATCCCATGCTCATGGATGGGTAGAATCAATATTGTGGAAATGACTATACTGCCAAAAGCAGTTGACAAATTCAATGCAATTCCCATTAAAATACCACCATCATTCTTCACAGATTAGAAAAAAAATCCTAAAATTCATATGGTACTAAAAAAAACACCCTGCATAGCCAAAGCAAGACTAAGCAAAAAGAACAAATCTGGAGGCATCACACTACCTGATTTCAAACTGTACTATGAGGCCATAGTCACCAAAGCAGCATGGTATTGGCATAAAAATAGGCACATATACCAACAGAATAGAATAGAGAACACAGAAGTAAACCCTAATACTTACAGCCAACTGATCTTTAACAAAGCAAACAAAAACAAAGTGGGGAAAGGACACCCTATTCAACAAACAGTGCTGGGATAATTGGAAGCCACATGTAGGAGAATGAAACTGGATCCTCATCTCTCACCTTATACAAAAATTACCTCAAAATGGATTAAGGACTTAAATCTAAGACCTGAAACTATAAATTTTAGAAGACAACATTGGAAAAACCCTTCTATACATTGGCTTAGGCAAGGATTTCATGACCAAGAACCCAAAAGTGAATGCAATAAAATAAAAATAGGTGGACTTCATTAAACCAGAGAGCTTTTGCACAGCAAAAGGAACAGTCAGCAGAGTAAACAGACAATCCACAGAGTGGGAGAAAATCTTCACAATCTATACAGCTGATGAAGGACTAACATCCAGAATCTACAATGAACTCAAAAACAAATAAGCAAGAAAACAAAACAATCCCATTAAAACATGGGCTAAGGACATGAATAGACAATTCCCAAAAGAAGATACACAAATGGCCAACAAACATATGAAAAAATGTTTAACATCACTAATGATCAGGGAAATGCAAATCAAAACCACAGTGTGATACAATCTTACTCCTGCAAGAATGGCCATAATCAAAAAATAAAAAAAAATAGATGTTGGCATGGATGCAGTGAACAGGGAACATTTCTACACTGCTGGTGGGAATGTAAACTAGTACAACCACTATGAAAAACAGTGTGGAGATTCCTTAAGTAGAACTACCATTTGATCCAGCAATCCCACTACTGGGTTTCTACCCAGAGGAAAACAAGTCATTATATGAAAAAGATTCTTGCACATGCATGTTTATAACAGCACAATTTGCAGTTGCAAAAATGTGGAATCAACCAAAATGCCCATCAATCAATGAGTAAAGAAACTGTGACATATATATATACATATGTATATATATATATACACATATATATACATATGTATATATATATATATACATATATATATATACACATATATATATATATTTTCTTGCCAATTTGTTTGAGTTCATACACATATATATATATATATGTGATAGAATAAAACTCAGCCACAAAAAGCAATGAATGAGACTGGAGACTATTATTCTAAGTGAAGTAACTCAGGAATGGAAAATCTAACATCGTATGTTCTCACCCATATGTGAGAGCTAAGCTATGAGGATGCAAAGGCGTAAGAAAGACACAATGGACTTTGGGGACTCAGGGGGAAAGGATGGGAAGGGGTGAGGGATAAAAGACCACAATTTAAGTGCAGTGTGTACTGCTTGAGTAATGGGTGCACCAAAATCTCACAAATCACCACTAAAGAACTTACTCATGTAACCAAACACCACCTGTTCCCCCAATAACGTATGAAAATAAAAAAAATTAATTAAAAAATAGAAATGTGGGGTTGCAGCCTCCACACAGAGTCCCGACTGGGGCACTGCCTAGCGGAGCTGTGAGAAGGGGGCCACTGTCCTCCAGACCCCAGAATGGTAGATCCATCGACAGCTTACACCATGCACCTGGAAAGCCAGACACTCAACACCAGCCTGTGCAAGCAGCCACGAGGGGGCTGTACCCTGCAAAGCCACAGGGGCAGAGCTGCCCAAGGTTGTGGGAGCCCACCTCTTACATCGGCGTGACCTGGATATGAGACATGAAGTCAAAGGAGATCATTTCAGAACTTTAGATTTGGTTTCCCCACTGGATTTCAGACTTGTGTGGGGCCTGTAGCCCCTCAGTTTTGGCCAAATTCTCCTATTTGGAATGGGTGTATTTACCCAATGCCTATATCCCCATTGTATCTAGGAAGTAACTAACTTGCTTTTGGGTTTACAGGATCATAGGCTAAAGGAACTTGCCTTATCTCACATGAGACTTTGGACTGTGGACTTTTGAGTTAAGATTTTGGGAGACTGTTGGGAAGGCATGATTGGTTTTGAAATGTGAGAACATGAAATTTGAGAAAGGCCATGGCGGAATCATATAGTTTGTCTTTTTGTCCCCACCCAAATCTCACCTTGCATTGTAATAATCCCCACATGTCAAGGGCAGGGCAAGGTGGAGATACTTGAATCATGAGGGCAGTTTGCCCCATACTGTTCTCATACTAGTGAATAAGTCTCACGAGATCTGATGGTTTTATAAATGGGAGTTCCCCTACACAAGCTCTCTTCCCTGCCACCATGTAAGATGTGCCTTTGCTTCTCGTTTGCCCTCCACCATGATTGTAGATAATATATCCACATGGAGATAAAAACAGAGGAAGGTCAGAGATTGAGTGTCTGAGGCCTCCCCAGCCATACAGAACTGTGAGTCCATTAAACCTCTTTCCTTCATAAATTACTCAGTCTTGGGTATGTCTTATTAGCAGCATGAGAACAGACTAACACAGGGAGAGAGCAAAAAGTCTTAGTTTTTTATAAACTAATCCCAGAGTGATATTGCATCACTTTTGCCATATGCCATTTGTTAAAAGAGAGTCACCAAGTCCAGCTCAGAGATAAGGGAGGAGATTACACAAGGGCATGAATCCCAGGAGGTGGAATCACCAGGAGCCACCTGCACACCACATCTATTCTTGAACTTCATCTCCGACTCCTCTCACCTTTGTACTCCAGGTGCCAGACACTTTGGCTGCCTTCCTGTCCTTTGAATACACTAAGCTTGACTCTACCTTAGGGCCTTCTCCCTAACTATTCCTCTGCCTAAAACCCCTTCCTCCCCAGCTCTTCGTGTGGCTGACTCCCTTTCAGGAATTCATGCATCTGCTCAGACATCACTGCCTTCTGAACACACTAACCACAGTATGATCTTCACCCATCCCTCTCTAGTCCATACCTCAGTTTTATTTTGGATTTGAAACCAAGTCACCAAAACAATCACTCTTTCTTTCTGATTCTTCCTGAAGGAATAAAAAACAAATCGGAACAAAAAACAAATCAAAACAAAACAAACAAGAACACTTAAGAGCTGGCCAAATTAATAGACAGATAGTAGAATAAGTTCCCTGAACGTGTGCTGCATTAACTAAATTAAGAGCAGCCAGTACCCTCCACTTCCACTTTTATGTGGGCATGAAGCTCATCTTGACTTCTAACGCTGCCATGGGCCCTGACTGGATGCTGTGCAGCTCCACAGCAAGAAATGAGAAAGTTTCAAATACATTTCAGGATGTTTTTCTCAAGTTAAATGTTTGCATGAAATAAAGTTAATTTACATTAACCTTTAATTTTCCATTCATCCCCAAAGTACAATCGATATTTATATATGTTTATATATAAAATAGAAAAAATACTGATCCCTAGAATAGAGGTACTGGCCTAACAGCTGCAAACAGGAGTAATTTCAATTAAAACTCTGATGTATAATGCATAATAATTTTAAATTACACCTCTTAGAAACAGCCACTCTTAAATCTTAAAGCAGTGAGGAATGAAGAAAGTTTGGTTAGCTGTGAGAGGAAGTACTTTATTTCATGGCAAGTCAGAGCATGCAGAGAAGTCAGAACTGTTTCATAAGATTTGCACGGTGGCTCCTCACAAACTGAAAGGGATATTTGGCCATAATCTACGTTCTTCTCCAAACAATGACACTATGATTATAGCACATGCCCAACATTGATAAGGATGTTTTTGTTACCTAGGGAGTTGATTTCAGGAAGGTTCAGGTTTCACATGCAGAATTTAAGACAAGATTTAAACAAGTTAATAAGTATTTGTTTAGTTTGTCCTCTTTGAATGTTGGCATGAGAGTGAGGCTGATTAGGAAATGTAAACATGCTGTGTGCCTTGGTGGTGCTTGATCTGGGGACCTCACCATTGCTATTGAAGTCCTAAGCCACAATAAGGTATATTAATCCCTGGCAAACAGCCATAGGATACCCTAGAAGAACTTGCAAAACACTGAAAAAGGAGATTTGGCATTGCTGTGATTCAAGACCAACTACTCACAGAACTTTATAAAAGCAAACTTTTTTTTCCCATTATAATTTCATCATAAAATCGGTGAATGAGTTCAGGGTGAATATTTTAGCCAAATCTAAAGACCAAAACCAAAAAAAAGGTATATATTTTTTCTATTTCCTAAAGACAAATTTCCCCTGAGAAAGAGAATCAAACATTCTTTAGTTTAAAAACAAAAACTAGGAGAGAAAGGTGGAAAGTACATATACTGTTCCCTTTGATAGAAAGGCAAAATGTCAACTAGGATTTCCGTGTTATAAATTTAACTTAATTCTAATAATGATACACAAGGATTTTTTTAATTTGATAAACTGATGAAAAAGCAAATAAAAATTTAAAATTAAAACAGTAAAGATAACCACAAAATTTCTGAAATGATAATGGTGGTCAGGGGACATTAGCCTTCCTAGGGATTAAATCAATTATAAAGCTACAGTTATTATAAACAGTATTAAAATGCTCCACATCACTAATCAGAGAAATGCAAATCAAAACCACAATGAGATACCATCTCACACCAGTCAGAATGGCTATTAATAAAAAGTCAAAAAATAACAAGTGCTGGTGAGGTTGTGGAGAAAAAGGGATGCTTATACACTATTGGAGGGAGTATAAATTAGTTCAACCATTGTTGAAATCAGTATGATGGTTCCTCAAAGAGCTAAAAACAGAACTACTATTTGACCCAGCAATTCCATTACTAGGTATACACCCAAAGGAATATAAACCATTCTATTATAAAGATACATGCACTTGTATGTTCGTTGCAGCACTGTTCACAATAGCAAAGACACAGAACCAATCTAGGTGTCCATCAGTGGTGGATTGGATAAAGTGTAGTACATATGCACCATGGAATACCCCATAGAATACTACACAGCCATGAAAAAGAATGAAATGTCTTTTGTAGCAACATGAATGCAGCTGGAGGTCATTATCCTAAGTGAATTAATGCAGAAACAGAGAACCAAATACCACATGTCCTCACTTATAAGTGGGAGCTAAACACTGGGTAGTCACAGACATAAAGATGGCAACAATAGACACTGGGGACTACTGGAGGAGAGAGGGACAAAGAGGGAAAAGGGTTGAATAACTATTGGGTACTATGCTCAGTACCTGGGTTACAGGATCAACCATACCCCAAACCTCCGCATCATGCAGTATACCCAGGTAACAAACTAGCACATATACTCCCTGAGTCTGAAATAAAAGTTGAAATTTTTTTTTTAATTTTAGTGCACATACTTTTCACCCAGGCATTCCACCTCTAAACATTTATCTTACAGAAATACTTACAAAATTACATTTATACAAAGATATTCACTGTAGCAAAAGTTTAGAAAGTGCCATCAATAGTGCATTTTACTAAATAAGTAACAGATTATTCAAACCATGGCAGATACTGTGGCTTGTCTTCTATTTGGCCAACAGACTAGTTTCACTAATCCTTTCCCCAGCCCCAGGAGATTAATCTTGAAGAGACTATGCCAGCAACAGTCATTCCGTTTTCCTTATTGGAATGCAATAAAATATCCCAAACCACTGCCTCTGGGTGAACTGAGTAGCTGGGGGATAGAAGAAAATAGAAGATTTACTTTTCACTAAATACCCCCTTTGAATTCTATGAATTTTGTTACATGGGCATGTACGTGTGAAAAAAAACATAAAAGTTGTAAAAAGCATTGTTGCCCATTTTTAATTAAAAAACTAAAGCATAAAAATTCAAATTTTATAGGTTTTGAAAGCAGTAGTAGAAATAAAACCAAAGCCTACAATACATTATCTCTAGTATGAATTCCAGCACGTCCCAACATTTGCAGATACATCATTTGCTGTTAATATCATCTCTTGCCCAGTGATTATACAGAGTGGTTTACAGGCTGGTGACTATAAAATCAGGCAGACAGGCGACACGGTGAGATTCCGTCTCAAAAAAAAAAAAAAAATCAAGCAGACAAGTTCCAATTCATTTGTGCTGATATAACAGAATACCTAAGACTGGGTAATTTTTATAAAGAGCAGAAATTTTTTACTCACAGTTCTGAAGACGGGTAGTTCCAAGATCTAGGTGCCAGCAGGTTCAATTGTTTGGTGAGGGCCAAGTCTCCACTCTCAAGATGGTGCCTTGTGTATGGTAGATGCACCTGACAGCAATAATTTAAGCATACCCTGAGAATGACCCTGCATGCTAGATTCACCTGACTAATAATGTTACTTATAAGATGAGGGTTACCACATGGAGGTTGCTGGGGAGGGTTCTGAGTGAAGGTGCTGTATCAACTGCATGCTTTTTGCAAGTGGTTGTGGGTCTCCTGTCTAGCCTGCCACCACTGGACCGTTCCTGTATGGTGGATCGGTCCTGCCACCACTGGACCGTTCCTGTATGGTGGATCGGTCCTGCCACCACTGGACCGTCCCAGTAAGACTCTATGTCTTGTTTGCTGGCTCTGGGTCTCTTCTTCAGCCTCTTGAACCTGGTGCCATCCCTACTGAAGTTTGCAGGGGTCCAACACAACACCCTGATGCTGCTTCCTCTGGAGGGTAGGAACACCGCACCTTCACTTGGAAAAAAAGCAGAAAAAAAAAAAAAGGTGAACTCATTCCTGCAAGCCCTTTTTATAAGTTTCCTAATTTATTTACAAGGGAGGAGCTCTCAGGGTCTATCACCTCCCAGAGGCCCCACCTTCCAATACCATCACCTTGATGGTTAGGTTTCAACATGAATTTTGGGGGGGACACCACATTCAAACCATAGCAGTCTCTGCCACCCTTTACCAGTTGTATGACTTTAGGCAGGTAATATAGTTATTTAAATCTCAGTTCACAGATCATGGAACAGGATGATAATTTAGATAAAGCCCTTAGCCCTGTGCTGGGCTTTTATGGGTGCTCTAGTGGACACTGGCCATTGTAGTGTGCTCATCTAATTAAGGCAGATCCAGATGAATTTTCAGCTCAATATTTAGAAACTTTTTCAGCACTTCTTAAAATAATCAGAAACACAGCATAAGGGGGTCATAAAACTAAGATTGGGATAACTCCTGTTGAATTAGCAAAAGAAGAGTATTCTGGGCCATGTTTCTTACACTTTAACTTTGCCTCAAACATTGGAATCACCTGAGGAGTTTTTTCAAATTACTGATGCCTGGGCTCCACCTTCGAAGATTCTAATTAAATTGGTGTGGGCTGCTGTCTGGATGGCAGACTATTTTAAGTTCCTCAGGTGATTCTAATGTGCAGCCAAGGTTGAGGACCACTGGCATAGACGCTTCATTAAATCATCTGTTCTTAATTAAGTCTTAGCTATTCTTATGCTGGTAGAGGTTTAAAGGGCTTATCCATTTCCCCCATAGGTTAGAAGTTTCATCAGGGCTTTATTTCTTAATTTTTGTTTTGTTTTGTTTTTTAACCTCTGCCTTTTATTTTTCTTTTAGCCTGCCTAAATGTCTTGTAGAATCTCATCATCACTATTGATTGACTGTTCAACGCAAATGGTGACAGCAACTGGAAGCCTCCCTCCACGAGGCTCTTCTTCCTCAGGTGGTCAGCCTGCTTAATGAGAATCCCAGTTAGGTGTAGCACACCATTGCACTACTGTTACTGCTTCTGCAGGCTAATATTTCAGAAACTGGTTTGATTCCTCGCCATAACAGTCATTTTCCCATTGTCTATCTTTTCCTCCCATTTGTTTTCAACTTTTAATGGATTAAATAATTTTGTACATAAAACCATGCCCAGAAATAACTTATTATTATTATTATTTTGCTTTCAGATGTTTAGAGAGGGAATGTGCTATAGCTAAAGAGGGTGGGATTTGTAGTCAGGAAATGAGTTCAAGTCCCAATTTGCCACTTACTGCTGAGGAGTCACTTTGCATCATTGTGAGAGGTGGCAGCGTGCTGGCAGTCCTCACAGCCCACGCTCGCTCTCTGTGCCTCCTCTGCCTAGGCTCCCACTTTGGCGGCACTTGGGGAGCCCTTCAGCCCACCGCTGCACTGTGGGAGCCCCTTTCTGGGCTGGCCAAGGCCGGAGCCCGCTCCCTCAGCTTGCAGGGAGGTGTGGAGGGAGAGGAGCGAGCGGGAACCTGAGCTGCGCGCTGCGCTTGCGGGCCAGCTGGAGTTCCGGGTGGGCGTGGGCTTGGCGGGCCCCGCACTCGGAGCAGCCGGCCGGCCCTGCCGGCCCTGGGCAATGAGGGGCTTAGCACCCGGGCTGGCGGCTGCAGAAGGTGTACTGGGTCTCCCAGCAGTGCCAGCCCACCGGCGCTGCGCTCAATTTCTCGCTGGGCCTTAGCTGCTTTCCCACGGGGCAGGGCTCGGGAACTGCAGCCCGCCATGCCTGAGCCTCCCACCCTCTCCGTGGGCTCCTGTGCGGCCCGAGCCTCCTCGACGAGCGCCATCCCCTGCTCCACTGCGCCCAGTCCCATCGACAACCCAACGGCTGAGGAGTGCAGGCGCATGGCACGGGACTGGCAGGCAGCTCCACCTGCAGCCCCAGTGCGGGATCTACTGGGTGAAGCCAGCTGGGCTCCTGAGTCTGGTGGGGCCTTGGAGAACCTTTATGTCTAGCTCAGGGATTGTAAATACACCAATTGGCACTCTGTCTCTAGCTCAAGGTTTGTAAACACACCAATCAGCACCCTGTGTCTAGCTCAGGGTTTGTGAATGCACCCATCGACACTCTGTATCTAGCTACTCTGGTGGGGCCTTGGAGAACCTTTGTGTCAATACTCTGTAGCTAACTAATCTGGTGGGGACGTGGAGAACCTTTGTGTCTAGCTCAGGGATTGTAAACGCACCAATCAGCACCCTGTCAAAACAAACCACTGGGCTCTACCAATCAGCAGGACATGGGTGGGGCCAGATAAGAATAAGAGCAGGCTGCCCGAACCAGCAGTGGCAACTCGCTCGGGTCCCTTTCCACACTGTGGAAGTTTTGTTCTTTAGCTCTTTGCAATAAATCTCGCTGCTGCTCACTCTGTAACACTCACCGTGAAGGTCTGCAGCTTCACTCCTGAAGCCAGCGAGATCACGAGCCCACCGGGAGGAACGAACAACTCCAGTTGCGCCACCTTAAGAGCTGTAACACTCACCGCGAAGGTCTGCAGCTTCACTCCTGAGCCAGCGAGACCACGAACCCACCAGAAGGAAGAAACTCCAAACACATCTGAACATCAGAAGGAGCAAACTCCGACACGCCGCCTTTAAGAACTGTAACACTCACTGCCAGGGTCTGCGGCTTCATTCTTGAAGTCAGTGAGACCAAGAACCTACCAATTCCAGACACAATTGCTAGGCCTCAATTTTCTAATTTATAGTAGGATAATAATAGTATAGGGTTGTTAAGATACAAGGATCATATGTATAAAAAGCATTTTATAAAATATAAAACATTTTTCAAATATTATGATTGTGAAAGGAATAAGTGAAACCTTATACAACCGATAAAATTGTGTATAACAATTAGTATCACTCATTTAGAATAGACATAACTTTCCATTTGTCTGTCCTTTCTCATTTGCCTCATCTATCAGATCCCACATCCCTGTCTAAATTTTAACTCAGTTACCTTTATTTTCAACTCTACTGATATTTGTCATATAAACTCAAAACAGATGTGTCATTATGAACAAAAGTATTCCTTTTCCCAAGGACCTCTTTAGAAGAAAGCTAATAGGTACTGTTCAATCATTCATTAGGCAGATGTGTACTGAGAACCTGCCAGGTGGCAGGCACTGTGCAAGGATCTGTGGTTGAAGAAATGACCAGGACAGGACATTGGTAGAGCTTAAGTCTAGCAGAAATGTAATCAATGTTGCAACTGGAAAAGATTATTTGCAGGGACCTCACATAGTCAAGGGTTAGAAAAAATCACTTCGAGCCAAGTGAAGCTTAGCAAATTTGCCAGCCCAAACAGAGCTAGACAGGGTTGGTGCCCAGGCATGGAGAACAGCAAGGTCTGAGTGACAGAGACCACAGTTCGTTAGGGTAACTGAAAGAACTTCAGTGTACCTGGAGTGTGAGAGAGGGAAAGTGTTGAGTGAAGAGGCTAGAAAGGTCAACATTAACCATAAGCCTCAGAACCCTATCAAGGGATTTGGATTTTATCCTAAGGGCATTGGGAAGTCATTAAAAGATTTGAAACAGGAGAGTATGTAATCAGATTTCTAGGGGTTTTGTTTGTTCTGTTTCCTTTGTCTGGTTGCAATGTGGAGTATGTGTTTGGGAAAGGAATAAGGCAAGGAGACCAGATGTAATACTCCTGAGGTCAGATGTTGTGATCAGGCTTCGTATTATGATAAATGGGGTTGGAGAGACATAGAAGGGAGCAATTTTTGTAAAACATAGATCTGATCGTGTCACTCCCATAATCAAAACTCTTCAAGCCTCTCCCATTGTACTTAGGATAAAATTTCAGAATTCTTAACATGGCCTAAAGAGCTCTTTGTGTTCTGGCCCCGTTCCTCTTGCACACTCACCCTTTCTGTTCTTTATAGGTACCAAGCTCTTGGGACATGAGGAGGATCACTCATAACCTACCTAAAAACTTTGTATGAGACAAAACTGTTTGGTTCACTGCTTTATTCCAAAAGCAGTGAATGAATGAAGTGTGTGGTTTAAGACATATTTACAAAGTCAACAGAATTTGGAGGGGAGATGAACAAGGAGATGTTAAAAGATGAAACAAAGGTTCTGGCTTGAATAACTGGGTGGTTTACAAAAGAGACAGAAAAGATGGTTCAATATAGCTTATGTTGAGTTTGACATGCTGCAAGGTACGCAAGAGAAGATGTTAAATGGGCAATTGGATACAAGTATTTAACATGTACCAGATTCCGTTAGGTCCTTTCACACGTATTTTCTCACTTAATTAACTAAAGACAAATGTAGATAGAAACAATTAACTATATGACCTAATTTTTAAAAGTACTTTCTACACTAACTATGTTAATGCAGACTATGAATATCCCCATACCTATTTATCTGGGGAAATGAGCAATTTATCATGGAGAAATTTAAAAACTGTTTAAAAACTGATTTGAAACATTTCATTTATAAAGTATCCCTGTAGCACAATTATGGGAAGACTTAAAGAAACAAAAACAAGTACAAATTGTTGGGTGAATAATTTCAGTCCCATGGAGCAATTTTAGCCTGTTCTATTTATTTGCATGAGTAATCATGGGGCCCAGCTCATTTTAAATCAGCACAGTTGAGGTAAAGAAGAAAATAACCTATCAGTCCTACATCCAACAAGACTCATTACTCCATATCACTTTCTAAATCAATTTATTCAAGAGTTCCCTCTTCCTGCTTTTGGCAAAGTATTAAAAGCCAAGTCTGTGAAGTATTTCTTCTTCTTAGTTTATATAGTTTATACATTTTTGTTTCTAGATTCAACTTTATGCATTGAGGAAGCAGTTCCACTGCATCCTTCAAACCTTCCTATTCTAAGCCCATCAGCAATAGAACTAAGCTCTTGGCTCCATCATATTTTAGAACAGTGCTTCTCAAAGTGTGGTCTGTAGTCAAGCACATTGGAATCAACAGGGCTGCTTTCTTAAAACACATACTTGGGTCCTTACCCCCAGATCCACAAAGTCAGCATTTCTCAAAATGGGGAAAACTCAAGAATCTGCACTTTTAAATAGCTGCCCAGGTGACATTTATACACACTAAAGTTTGAAAATTTGGATAATTCAAAACCACGTAAGGTAGCTAATTCTCATTACACACCTTGCCATCAATAATAGCTATGAGCTACCTTCTCACAGAAGTAATATACCAGAACAATAAATACATTAAATGAAGATTTGAATTCAAGTAAAAACAAGAGGCTGCTCGAACACTCTGAATCAGACTCCATGAGAGAAGTTTTAAAAAGCTTTTATTTACCAACTGGTGCCACTACAGTAATTGCTGGAAAACTGAGTTACAAGTATTTTACATGGAACTACTAAATACCAGATTAGTATTCACTGATTACAAAAAAAAATAAGCTAATTGAACGTAAACGTAACCAAAGGGGGATGCTTTACATTTAAGATGTCTTGTTGAGAATAGGGAAGACACATGTTACAAAATGATTCCTAGGTTATGAGGTTTTAATTTTTAGATTTTGTTGTTGATTTTGTTTGTTTGCCTTTCTGCAAGTGCCTTTCAGTGAAGTTTCCTAAAACGTACGGCAGAATTGATTCACTGAATTTAACTCAGTTATTGCCCACAAACCTTTATTCAATGTCTTTATTGTTACTCATAGAAAAATTGTGTGTATAATATATACAATTTTTTAATACTCCATCCAAAATAGGGATATTACAGTTTGGTTAAAACTTTTGTTTTCCAAGACAAATAAATACTGTTATTTGAAAGATGCTAGGAAAATGGAAGTATATGAGACTAGATTTCTGCTTAAGTGTCTAGTCTGTACTTTTTAAATTTGTAAAAGAGAAGGAAAAATCATTTCTGTGAACATTTTTATTCACAAAACTGCAGTCTTTTTTATTCAGATACTAAAAGGTTAATTTTAAGTGCTTTTCTTTTGCAAAATGAGTAGAAAATTCCATTATCCATCAATTAAACATAGGTAAGAAGTAACAGACAGTGAACAGAAGAGAGATACATATTATGCATGCAAGGAAAATTAAAACTTGGGATATTGAGGGGGGGTGCGCTTTGATGTACAAAAGAACCATTGTTAATGTGGGACAAAACCTCCCCAGTATGGAACAGAGATAAAAAGGAGGGAGTTTCTAGCAGATCAAGGTCAACAGAGATATGTGAATAACATAAATGCTATTAATCTAGTACCGAATGAATCACAGGAGTTCAGCAGGGTATGGTTATGTGGCAGAGTTCATGGCAGGAGTTTTTTATGTCACTTTGTATTAGATAATGAACATATTCATCAAGATTCCTAAATACCATCCAAAGTGGCATAGAAGAAGCTTTAAGGAGCTTGAGAGAACAAATCAAAGCACTAGATCTGAGGCTCGGAAAGGTAATAGGGATGTTCAAACAGTGCAGCAAGTTTAGATACTTGCAGGCATCCATACAATCTCACTCTGCAGGAAATGGCGTGAGAAAGGATTTCTTAGTTGGATGACTAGCAGCTTATTATGTATAATGTCATCTCACTCATTATGTCCTAGTTTAATAGTTGGAAAAGATGCAGACAGTATTACCTTAAAAGACTGTATGCTGGAAAACATGAAATTCTTTTCATCTTATAACTCATTTAAAATACAAAATGAACTGCTTCTCCTTTCTTCAGATAAACTATAAAATGGCTAATTAAGTATCATCCTCTTTTCTCAGATTCTGCCCAAATGTTTCAGACTCCTTTGGTCTAAATCTTATTTAAGTGTACAAGACTTAAATAATATTTAAGTCTTATTTAAGTCATTATATATACATGTATACATATATATATGACTAATACGTATTAGTAATATGTACTAATATTTTATACATATAATTTATATATAATACTAGTATGTGTATATATATACACACATACATACACATACATGAACATCATTCTAGGCTCATGCCTTTTAAAAGGACAATTATGAGGAATTGAAAAAAGAACTAAGAAGAAAACAGAGGACTAGTAGCTGGTAATCCAACAGAAAATAAAAAAGGAAGAAACCAAAGAAAGAGAAGAAGAGAGAAAGTAAAAGTAAGAATTTAAGGATAAGTTTTTCAAAAGTAGATTACAAAGTAATACTGTTTTCAATGGTAGGTTACATTTCCATCTATCCAATGAGGCATAGGAGCTTATATAAATATATCGAAAACTCTAAGAACAAGCATCCCAGATTGGCCCATGAATGACATCTTAATTTGAATGTCTCTGGCAACATGTAATGAGTTCCTATCATTTCAACTTCAATCATTTTTTAAATATTAAGTGCCTTGAATGTACTAGGCATTGAGAATCCTGTAGTGAATAAGGCAGACACGATTCCTGCCCTCATAAAGCTTATTGTTTTAAGATTGATGTTGGTGGTTACAGTAAGTTGAAAAGTGTAACTCAAAAAGTCATGTCCACTCAGAACCTCAGAATGTGGTCTTATTTGGGAATACTGGTCTTTGTCAATATAACTAGCTAAGGATCTTGATTAAGTCACCCTGGATTTAGGGCCCTAAATCCAATGACTGGTGTCCTTATAAGAGGAGCAGACACAGAGAGACACACAGAGAATAAGTCAACTGGAAGATGGAGGCAGAAATTGGCATGATGCCTCTATAATCCAAGGAAGGCCAAGGATTGCCAGCAGCCACCAGAGGCTAAGAGAAAGGCCTGGGATGGTTTTTCCTTAGAGGCCCCAGAAGCAAACAATATTTGCAACACCTTGATTTACTTTCTGGCCTCTAGAGCTGTGAGAGAATCCATTTCTGTTGTTTTAAGCCACCATGGTAATTTGTTATGGTAATTGTTCATGGTAATTTGTTGTGGCAGCCCTAGGAAACTAATACATGGTGAACAGAGTTAATGCAAAAATGACCACCCACACTGAAGTCTCCCTTATCACAGTGCCACTGAGCATGGGCATGGCCTGACAAAAACAAAGATGCAGATGTGGCATGGTCTTTAACAAAATCCTCAAAAAAGAAACCAAAGAATGAGGAATAGGTTCACTAATAGTTGCACAGACTCTTAGTGTTGGAAGGGACTTTGAGACCAACTAGAGTCATCCTGTTCATTTGACGGCAGAAGAAACTGAAATGAGTTGTCTCTTGGCTTCCTCTCCCCTTTGCCTCAGGAGAGATGCAGATGGTCTGTCTTATCTCCGGCAGGAAATCTCCATCTGGCTGGCACCCTAAGTGATTCAGCTGGATTCCCAGGGAGGGGGAATTTCTCATGAGTAAGATGGTAACCACAAAATTCATTTATTCCAGTTATTCTAGAGCATCTACTCTGTAAGTCACAATGGGAGAAGCAAGAAATACAAACTCCTGTTTGTTAGAAACACATACACAATCCCAAATATAACCCCTCTTACATTTAAATTATAAGTAAAGTCAGAACAAGTATATTTTTGGTTCATTGGGTTAAAACTAAAGGTTGGAAACAAGGCAGACAAGAACGGAAACTTGCCTTGGTCTTTTCTGGCTTCTATAATGGAATACCTTAGACTGGGTGGCTTACAAACAACAGAAATTCATTTCTCACAGTTCTGGAGGGAGGGAAGTCTAAGAACAAGGTGCTAACAGGTGTGGAGTCTAGGGAGGTCTCACTTCCTCGCCTGACACCAAATCTGTCTGGTGATGGCAGATGGCAGTCTTCACATGTGTCTTCACATAGTGGAAGGGTAAGAGGGATCTCTCTGGATCTCTTTTATAAGGGAACTAATCCCACTAAGGGATTAGTTATGATCTCTAATTAGTTATGAGTGCTCTGCTCTCATGACCTAATCACCTCCCAAAGGCCTCACCTCCTAATGCCATCACTTTGGGAGTTAGGATTTCAACATAGGAATTTGGGCAGGGGGCAGGGGGAGGACATAACCATTCCGTCTATTGCAAAACTATAAAATATTTCCAACTGTGGTAACTAAAACAAGGGAAGGACTTTGCTTTCTGACTTATAGCAGAGCAATGCTTCTATTAGTCTTAGAAAAACTAGAAAAGAAGGACAACAAACACAAACACACAACCCTGTTTAATGGCATTGAAGAACTATAAAAGTAGTCAAATTTCAGGGGTAAAGATCCTTGAAAGAAGAAAAAATTAAGCCTAAGCAGAGAGACTGAGAAGCTGAGCAAAGCTTTTAGCAACCCTATGGGGCTGGAGAAACAGAAATTGAAGTTCAAGACTATCAAGAGTCCCATGTTGAGAGAAGCCAAGATTCTAGAGAGAAAGAGAATAACTTTGATATTCAAGCTACTATTCCTCTGGAGACAGTCATCCATTTCTTTGTGGCTTAACCCAAGAGGGAGACAAGCTGATCCAAGAAGTGCTAGGTGGCTGAAAAACTGAGCAGAGCTATTGGCAATCTCAGTGTGCTAGGGGGAATTTTTTTTTTTTTTTTGAAATGGAGTCTCCCTCTGTCACCCAGGCTGTAGTGCAGTGGCACGATCTTGGCTCACTGAAACCTCCGCCTCCTGGGTTCGAGCGATTCTCCGGCCTCAGCCTCCCGAGTAGCTGGGATTACAGGCGCACACCACCATGCCCTGCTAATTTTTTTGTATTTTTAGTAGAGACAAAGTTTCACCATGTTAGCCAGTCTGGTCTTGAACTCTTGACTTCAGGTGATCTGCCCATCTTGGCCTCCCAAAGTGTTGGGATTACAGGCATGAGCCACCACGCCTGGCCAGGGGGTTTTTTTAAATGGCATTCAGGGATTTGTCAGGTGGAGGTGCTCAAGGGTATTATTAGTCCATTTTCAGGCTGCTGATAAACACATACCTGAGACGGGGTAATTTATAAAGAAAAAGAGGCTTAATGGACTCACAGTTCCTACATGGCTGGGGAGGTCTCACGATCATGGCAGAAGATGAAAGGTACATGTTATATGGTGGCGGGCAAGAGTGAAATGAGAGCCAAGCAAAAGGGAAAACCCCTTATAAGATCATCAGATCTTGTGAGACTTATTCACTACCAAGAGAACAGTATGGGGGAAACCACCCCCACAATTCAATTATCTCCCACTGGATCCCTCCCACAACACATGGGAATTATGGGAGCTACAATTCAAGATGAAATTTGGGTGGGGACACAGCCAAACCATATCATCAAGTAAACAAACTAGGGTTTCATTTGAGACTTTCTACACCCTAGACATAGGGTGAACCCAAGGTAGTCAAAACCTTAAAGACAGGCACAGCCTCAAATGGCTTGCTCCCTAATTAGATGAATGTGATCTGCTGATATACTAACAGCCTCCCAGAAGATAAATAACATTCTTTCTGAAGAAACAGAACACTGTCTAGACCCTCTACCATTTTCCACACACAATGTCCAGACTCCCATGAAAGATTATCAGACATACCCAGATAGACAATTAAGAAACAAACCAGACTATAGTGATTCAGATATTGAAAGGATCAGACACAAACTTTAAAACAAGGGCAAATTCCACTCCCACCCCCAACCACAGATAGTTTATAAAGGATCATAGATGAATTTGTAACACATGAAACTGGAAGTGGACCTGGCTAGAAATTTTGGTAACTCAGGAATGAGCTTCTCCTCTCAAGGCTGTTGTTCTGAACTGTCCTTGTTTAACAAGAGGGAACTTTGACTATTGCCCAGAGGTTCATTTCTTTACTACTTAGTGATTGTTCATGAAGCCAGGACCTCTCAAAGCTCTGAGAGTCTGGAATTATTGAACAGTACTTTAATTTTGTTTGTTTGTTTTGTTTTTGAGACGGGGTCTTGCTTTGTCGCCCAGGCTGGAGTGCAGTGGTGCAATCTTGGCTCACTGCAACATCCAGCTCCTGAGTTCAAGCGATTCTTCTGCCTCAGCCTCCTGAGTAGCTGGGACTACAGGCCTACACCACCATGCCTGGCTAATTTTTGTATTTTTAGTAGAGACAGGGTTTCACCATATTGGCCATGCTGATCTCGAACTCCTGACCTCATGATCTGCCCACCTTGGCCTCCCAAAGTGCTGGGATTACAGGCATGACCCACCGCACCCAGCCAGAACTTGAATTTTTTAATGGTAAAGCTGAATTGTGTGAAAGGATGGGAAATTTAGGACAGACCCGGTAGGTGAATAATAAGGGCTCAGAATATTACCATTGTGTTTCCTATGAGTTACAGTGGGGGTCAGACGCCAACACAGACTGTGGGAAGAAAGTAAATGGAGTTCCCACTTAGATTTAATCAACAGTCCTTTATTTTTATTCATCAGAGGATATGGGAGAAAATGGGACGGGGGCTCTGAAAATTGTAATTCCCTGTCCTATCTTCTGCCTCCACACTCATTAAGCCACAAATTAAAAATTAATAAAATTAAGACAAGCCACCCCATTACCTGATTCAGTTTACTTTTTTTGGTCTTTTCTCTCTTGCTTTTCTTTCCCTGGTTTTTGCCATAGACACTGCATTTTGTGCTCTTCCCTGAAGATGTCCTAAAAGCTATGCACACTCTTCTATCTTCCCCAAAGTCCTGGCATGGAATTGTCCCTGAGGTAACAGTTTCTGGGACCAAGATCAGCACAGAGGAAATGGGGCAGGGTGGGGGACACTCAGCCTCCTCCCCTGGCATCATTAAGAACTTTCAGAATAAAGGAAGAGCTCTAACCCTGACAAGTTCCTGCACGGGGAACGAACCACTCACTCTGCTGTAACAGGGCAGCTTTGCTCTGGGTACCACATTTGTGCAATGTGTGTATTTCTAGGCTGAAAACAAAAGAGGTTTTTACCTTCTCAATCCTTTCCCATAATTACCTTTAGTGGTGAAGCAGTTAATGCAGTATTCCTCCTCTTGGCTAAAAGTTTTCATTTTTTATTGGCACCATTTTACCCCTGGAGACAATAGCAGATTGTTTCTGGTGTGTGCAGAAGATCTTGTTCTGGCAGGCAGGCTTCCAGTCAACAAGCTTAACATCCTCTGCAAAGAACGTGTGAGTGTCTTGTTCAAACCTGACTTTCAAGTAACTTTTATAAAGACAGTCATCCTAATCACAACCTGCCATGGTGTTAGAAACTGGCACAAAACCGAAACCAAAAATACGCTCAAGAGAGTCTGAGGTAGAAGTAAACCCAAAAGGGTAGGGGAAGGAGGCTGTTAATGAAATCCTTGGGTCAAAATGCTTCTGACCTCAGACTGTCTTCATAGCACCCGATTAGAAAAATCCTTTCTTTTTCTCATACCTCTGACCTGGTTAACAGCCTTCAAACATCTATATTGGGTAATCTTAACCGCAGCAATCACCCCAGATTGGGAGTGTACCAAGCAGAAAGGGAAGGAATTTAAAGCAATGCAGGACTCCTTACTTGGGCCTGTCTGTCCCCAAGGCAGAAATCACCAGTCTCCACCCTACCTTAATTAGGGAGGAGGGCATAATTCCTCTTCCACTAATAGCTGCTCAAGTACTCCTGATACCCAGTGGAAAGGCATTGTTTAGGTGGCCTCCATGAGAGGATCTCTCTGAGGGGACAAGGAATCTGAATTAGGAGAAACAATTACTAAGACCTTCATATAGTCATACTCTATAAAGCATAAAGCATTTTGCCTTACCATATCTCACAAAATTATGTGAAGAAGACAGAGTTGAAAGATAGGGAAACAAACTCAAGGTAAAGGGACTTGCCAGAGGTAGCATAGATAGCAAAGACAAAGCTGGTTATTAAAATCAGGTTTCCAGGGGAGAAAAGACAAATCTCCCATGAAGAAAAATACCAAATAAGTTATGGAGCTACTGTGTCCTCAAGGAAGTGGAACATAACTCTCCACTCCTTAAGTATGGGCTTTGCATAATGACTTCCTTCCAAATTATGGTTGGGAAGTGAAGTCATTTCACAGTGGAGAAACCCAACAAACACTATCTCAAACAGGCAATAAAAGTCAACATCAACAGTGATGCTTCATGTTAACAATATACCCTTGAATTGATGTGATAAGAATGGTGCTTGACCTCTGTGTTCTTCCTCCCAAAATCTCTTAACCTCAAAGTAATCATGAGAAAAACATCAGACAAATTCCAATTGAGGGACATACTACAAAACACCTGCCCAGTACTCATCAAAAGTGCCAAGGTCACGAGACAGGGATGCCGTCTCTCACTACTCCTATTCAACGTAGTGTTGGAAGTTCTGGTCAGGGCAATCAGGCAAGAGGAAGAAATAAAGTGTATTCAATCAGGAAAAGAGGAAGTCAAATTGTCCCTGTTTGCAGATGACATGATTGTATATCTAGAAAACCCCATCATCTCAGCCCAAAATTTCCTTAAGCTGATAAGCAACTTCAGCAAAGTCTCAGGATACAAAATCAATGTGCAAAAATCATAAGCATTCCTATACACCAATAACGACAAACAGAGAGCCAAATCATGAGTGAACTCCCATTCATAATTGCTACAAAGAGAATAAAATACCTAGGAATCAAACTTACAAGGGATGTGAAGGACCTCTTCAAGAACTACAAACTGCTGCTTAACGAAATAAAAGAGGACACAAACAAATGGAAGAACATTCCATGCTCATGTATGGGAAGAATCAATATCATGAAAACGGCCATACTGCCCAAGCTAATATATAGATTCAATGCCATCCCCATCAAGCTACCAATGACTTTCTTCACAGAATTGGAAAAAACTACTTTAAAGTTCATATGGAACCAAAACAGAGCTCATATAGCCAAGACAATCCTAAGCAAAAAGAACAAAGCTGGAGGCATCACACTACCTGACTTCAAACTATACTACAAGGCTACAGTAACCAAAACAGCATGGCACTGGTACCAAAACAGATATATAGAGCAATGGAACAGAACAGAGGCCTCAGAAATAACACCACACATCTATAACCATCTGATCTTTGACAAACCTGACAAAAACAAGCAATGGGGAAAGGATTCCCTATTTAATAAATGGTGCTGGGAAAACTGGCTAGCCACATGTAGAAAGCTGAAACTGGGTCCCTTCCTTACACCTTACACAAAAATTAATTCAAGATGGATTAAAGACTTAAATGTTAGACCTAAAACCATAAAAACCCTAGAAGAAAACCTAGGCGATACCATTCAGGACATAGGCACGGGACACCGGGGCCTGTCATGGGGTAGGGGGATGGGGGAGGGATAGCATTAGGAGAGATACCTAATATAAATGACGAGTTAATGGGTGCAGCAAACCAACATGGCACATGTATACATATGTAACAAACCTGCACATTGTGTACATGTACCCTATAACTTAAAGTATAATAATAATTTTAAAAAAAAGTGCCAAGGTCGCCAAACCCAAAGAAAGTTTGAGAAACTAAGAGCCAAGAGGCGCTAAGAAGACGTGATGACTGAACATAAATAATGTGGTATCTTAGATGGAATCCTGGAACAGAAAAAGAACATTATGTGAAAAAGGAAGAAAATCTGAATGGAGTATGGACTTTAGTTAATTAGAACGTATCAATATAGTCACACTAATTGTAACAAATATACCAAACTAATGAAAGATATTAATAAGAGGGGAAACTGTGCTGCACTGCATATATGAGAATGTTATTAATGACTCTCAGTTTTTCTGTAAGTCTAAAACTGATGTAAGATTAAAAAGTTATTAGACAAAAAAAATCAGGCTCTCTGTCCCAACCCTCAAATCTTTCCATAAGAGTAAGCACACTGTTCTGCCTCATATGAAGCAAGCATTTTCCTGAGAAGTCTGTAATTCAATTAATGTCTCCCCAACCAGAATCTGTAGGCTCTGGGAAGGCAGAGACCATGCCAATTTTTGCTGAGCATTAAATCTCTAGGACCTTGTACAGTGCCTATCATGTAGTAGACACTCATAAATATGTGCTGAGTGAAGGAAACTGGGTCCAGGGAGTTTAGAACTGGTTTGTCTAAATTAAATTCAACACATTCAATCCTAGGTCAAAAAGGATGCTAAAATATTTTAAATATCAAAATAGGAAAATAGAATTACAGAGCCTCTTTCAATAAGGTTTTAATTCTGATAGTAGGGTTGAATATGGACATTCAAGAACAAAGTGAAAACTGGAGCAAAGTTAAATACGCCAATTAAGGCCAGGTACAGTAGCTCACACCTATAAATCCCAACACTTGGGAGGCCAAAGCAGGAGGATTGCCTGAACCTAGGAGTTTGAGACCAGCATCTCTTCAAAAAATTTAAAAAATTAGCCAGGCATGGTGACATGTATCTTGTAATCGCAGCTATTCAGGAGGCTGAGGTGGGAGGATTGCTTGAGCTCCGGAGTTCAAGGCTTCCATAAGCCATGATTGCACCATGGTATTCCATCCTGGGCAACAGAGCAAGACCCTCTCTCTAATAAATAGAAACACCAGTTGGAACCCACATAAGAAAGAGGAGGAATAGAAGAGTCAATGAACTGTCCTGACTTGAAATACATATAGACAATATGGTGCCACATTAAAAGCCATTGATGGCAGTGTGTACCCACAGAGAAAGGCCACATTTGTAAGCCAAAAAGTTATCCTTTCACTTCCTTGGCTTTTTAGATTTCCTCAAAATCCGTGGAGTTTGAGTTTCCCTACAGAAAAATAAATATGAAATATTAAAATTAAAGAATAGATAATACCCCTATGAGAAAAAGCTCAAAAAGTTGAGAAAGTTTAGCTAGAAAAAGGAAAAGTGAATATATGATTCAATAAATTCACTTAATATATAACAAGTTTTTGTAAGGAAGACACTGATCATTTCTACAGCTTCATATAAGAACAGACAAGAGAGGGATGAACTTAAATTGCAGTAAGCCTTTAACAGTAGAAACTTCCTCTTTTATATCCTGGATAGCTTTAAAAACAGAATGGTCAAACATCTGGTCTACAGGACCATCATGGAAGAAGGAGGGTGCTCATTAAAGTCCCTTATACCCTTACTGATCCATGATTCTACTATTTCAACTCTGTCTTTACTCTGCAACCAAAAATGATGGCCGCTATGCATTCTTCTGACACCAACCAGACCACTACCTTAATGTGGGCAGAAATCATTTCTGTTTTGTTCACCTGTCTCCTCCACACCTAGCTTTAGTGCCTGGCAGCTGATGCCCAATAAATACTTGTTGAACAAGCAAACCATCTTGAACCATGAAAGAAGATGACCAATTACATTCTGCTTTTTTAGACTCCTGAGAACATGATATAGAAGAACAGAAACAAAAGAACATTGTTAACCTTAATTTCTTTCTTTCTTTTTTTTTTTTTTTTTTGAGACAGAGTCTTGCTCTGTCACCCAAGCTGGAGTGTGGTGGTACAATCTCAGCTCACTTCAGCCTCTGCCTCCCGGGTTCCAGAGATTCTTCTGCCTCAGCCTCCTGGGTAGCTGGGATTACAGGCACACGACACCACGACCAGCTAATTTTTGTATTTTTAGTAGAGATAGGGTTTCACCATGTTGGCCAGGCTGATCTCGAACTCCTGACCTCAGGTGATCTGCCCGCCTAGGCCTCCCAAAGTGCTGGGATTACAGGCATGAGCCATTGCACCCAGCCCATTAATTTATATTCAATCATCTAAAAGAACATAAGTAAATATTCTAAAGCACAGAAAAAGGTATTAACAGGTCCTGACACATAATTGGCAAATTGTATTTTCTAAAGGTGGCCACACTTAATATCTATCCCATCCCATATGCTCTTCTTACAAAGTGATATCAGCACACAGACCTTGTAACTGTCCCAACTGATAGTATGTTACAAAAATGAAGCTGCATGACTTCTGAGGGTAGATTATATGAGGCAATGCCTCTCTCTCTCTCTGTCTCTCTCTCTCTTGCACACTCTATCTCTCTCTCACACACACATATAATCTTACTCACTAGATGATTAACCTTGGAACCGAGCCACCATGTTGGGAAGAATCCCAAGCCACATAGAGCTCCTAATGGTTTGTTGATAGCTGGATGTGATGAAGTAAATAGGTCTTTAATGTGAGATTTTATGTTTGTCTGGCTAGGAGTTAGGCTGTATTAATTGTTTGCTGTAGACATAGGTGTCAGAAGCTAAAATTTTTCCTAATGTCCTCATTTTTTCCTCCTCTGCTGTCTTTGGGCTTCCCTAGAGACTCTTGCTTAAATAGAGTCTGAGGTTTGCAGTCCGTTCAGGTGTAATTCCCCATTATTATATATACAGGGGCCTGATTTATGTGGTGGTAATGCATGGTAATGCATAGGAGAGGGGAAACTTTCTCCCCTCATTAGGTCCTTGTCTTTGTGAGCCTGTGTCCCTGGGCTGTGACCTTCACAGTGCTTGTCAATGTTTTTTTCATCTTTAGGTAAAATAGAAAGGCTAGAGGGGGATGAAGTTGTATATTGCCCTTCCTCTAGATCAGTTAGGCTCTAATGAAACCCATGATAATTAGGTTCTGGTATAATAATTTCCCTTGAGAGAAACAGAATGTTCTGGGCATATTTCAAAATGGCCACTCCCTTTCACTCTACCAGATTTTTCTCTAATATGCATGCTGAGAGCCCAGTGGGGCTCCTGGAAGTAAAATTCACACACAAAAAAATGGAAAACCCCTAAAACTTGTCCTCCAGAGTGTTTAACTCTTAAGTTCGTCCAGTAATTTGTCAATTATAGTTCAAGTTTTCCTACCCAATACTGGCTTCTGCTCACAGTAAGCTATGATTCTCTGTATTTGCCTGTCTCTCCAATTTTGTGGGCAACATCTGGCCCCATTACCTCAATCTTGTGACGGATCTAAGAACTGTTAGTTTTGATAGCTTTCAGTTTGTTTAGCTTTGTCTTATTGTGAGGACAACCATGGTGACTTCCAAGCTTTTTATATCTCAGACAAAAACCAGGCATCTCACAGTTCATTCTGCAAGCTTTTAAATTTTATAAATAAAACTTTATAATTAAAATATTTGTGTTCCCTTCTACCTAAATAGTACACTTACAGTATCCATGGAAAAGGAAAGAGAGACAAAATCAAAAGTAATAGGACTGACTGGGATGAGGGGTTTCCTGATGGGCAAGGCATTGACCACTGGTCTGGATGGGTCACTCCAGGGGACAGAGCTGAGAACCAAAAAAAAAAAAAAGCAGCTGTGCAGGAGGATGTGCTGTCCCATAAGTGCTCTCTAAAACACCTTTATTATTTTTCTTCTGTAATAGTAAAAAATGTACAATTTACAGAATTGGCAGGAATAAGCCATAAAAGAGCACCTGGAATCTTAATTTTACTTTCAAGTCACCCGAACATTTTCTAAACACATCTGCAGATATGAATGTTCTCTAAATCAGATTTTAAAAGCTTTCAAGAATATTTTCAACTATAATCTGGGATAAGGGCTAAGTTGTATAGGTCTGGCTCATCAACATTTGTGAGCTGATTTCAGAAAGAACACTTTGTATTATGTGTGTTCTGTATGTGTTTGAAGAGGGATGTGAAAAGTCTTGTATATCCAGGGAAAGAGGCCACCACCCCAGTCAAAATCTGATTTCACCCAAGACATCGTAGTAGGGCCTTGTTGCCTAAGGTCAATTCTTTCTTTTCATTAAGTGAAGATATTATTGTAAGAAGAATGATTTGGGACTCTTTCAGTTTTAAGTACCAAAAACCAATGTAGCTAACTTAAGGAAAAACAATGGAAAGATTTTTAGACTGGCTCATGAAATTCAAAGATTTTTGAAAATCAAGGCTTCAAGACTCCAGTGGGAACCTCAGTACATGAGTTCCTACCTCCCCACATACGTCTCAGCTACTAAAACTCCTAGTCTGTGTATTTTACATTTTGAATTTCCAGAAGAGAAAATCAGATTGACCTGGCTTGGGTCAGTTGTCCACCTTTGAGCCAATTATCTATGGCCATGGGACTGTAGAAACACAACAGCTGAAATAGCACATCCATGGTTTATGGGGAAGGCTCTTCTCATAGAAACAGATGCAGAGGCATCATTACAGGGACCCAGTATTTAGGATTTAGATTTTCCCAGAAAGGGGAGGGCAAAACCTAGCTGTAGCCTATTGGCTCTTCTGAATCAAGGTCTTCATTTAAACTTAGTTTTACATTACAGTATTTTTTTCTCCACCAAGAAAACTACTGTAATAGCACTGACATTTATTTCACAAGAACACTGTTGAAATTAGAATGGGAACCTTTTCCAAATGTATTACATCTTGATGGAACTAAGCTATAAAGTGAAAACCTCCTCCCCAAAGGTTGATATTTAAACTTTTATATATACTTTAAGATATTTTATTTTATTTGAATGTGTAAGATTCTGATATAAATTTTTGACTAGGTCTTTACACTAATAACTATGTAGAGACACTGAATCTCATAGGCTGCAATTCAGGCATGTAAAAAATATTTTTCCAGAAAGTGAAAAGATGGCTGACTAGAAGGAGTAGCAGTCAGCAGCAGTAGCAATCAGAAGCTCCCATCAAAAAGAACCATAATAGCATGTAAATCCTGCACTGGCAACCATGGTATCCAGGTTCTTTCATCAGAACTGACTAGGCGGCTGGCATGATCCACAGGGAGGAAGGAAGAGCAGTATGGTGCCCACCTGACAGCCACACAGGGCAAGGGAGCCCCCACCCCCCAGCGGAGGGAGGTGGTGAGTGAGCATGCTACCCAGCCGGGAAAACTGCTTTTTCCATAGAACTGTGCAACCCATGGACTGGCATATCCCACTCTCAAACCCATGCCACTGGGGCCTAGGATCCCAACCCTGGAGCTGCACAGATTCTCAACAGCTACAATCTGCTTAAGCCTGCCAAGTTCCCAGTGGGAGGGGCAACCAGTACCACAGCTGTGGCTGCCTGCTGTCTAAGCTGTTTGAGCTCCTTGGGACAGAGGCAGCAGCCAGCACTGGGACTCATAACTGCCTAACTTGCTAAGCTCCCTGGGCAGGGGAAGGGCGGCATCCATCTCTATAGCTCCAGGCTGTGCTTTTACCCTGCTGGAGCCAGGGAGGCTGGATGGCCTGGTCCCAAGAGGTGTCCCCCACAGCCCAACACACTGGCTGTGGCAGACTGCGGCCAGAGCGCCTCTTTAGGCCTGACCGTGACTCATCCATCCTCACTGGGTGGGGCCTCCCTGCAGGAGCTCCAACAACTCCAGCCAGAGGCTCAGGGACAGAACCCTGATCCCCCTGGGCCTGAGCCCCTAGAAGGACAGTGCTCACAGTCTCTGCAGACAAGCAGACTTAGCCTTTCCTCCTGGTAGTTCTGAGGAATCTGGGCAGCCCAGACTAGTGGGTTTCCCCCAGCGAAGCACACCCCCTCCACCAAGGGACAAAGTGCTTCATTAAATGAGTCCTATTCCCCATGCCACCCAACTGGGTGAGACCCTCCAACAGGAGTTGTCAGACACCTTATACAGAAGCAATCCTACTGGTATCAGGTTGGTGCCCCTCGAGGTCAGAGGTCCAAGAAAAAGGAGCAGGCACCCATCTTTGCTGTTCTCCAGCATCCTTGAGTGACATTTCCAGGCATGGGAGCAAATCAGATAAATAGGGCCTGAAGTGAACCCCCAGCAAACTGCAGCAGCCCTACAGAAGAGGGATCCAACTATTAAAAGAAAAACAAACAAGCAGAAGGCAACAACAACAGCTTCAACAATAACAACAAAAATCCCCCAGAAAAACCGCATCCAAGGGCCTCAAAGACCAAAACTAGACAAACTAATGAAGATGAGAAAGAATCAATGAAAAAATGCTGAAAACCCAAAAGGTCAGAGTGCCTCTTCTCCTTCAAATGATCACAGTGTCTCTCCATCAAGGGCACAGAACTTAATGGAGTATCAGATGGATGAATTGACAGAAGTAGGCTTCAGAAGATGGATAATAAAAAACTCCAATGAGCTAAAAGAACATGTTCTAACCCAGTGCAAAGAAGCTAAGAACTTGATAAAAGGTTAGAGGAGCTGCTAACTAGAATAACCAGTTTAGAGAGGAACATAAACAACCTGATGGAGCTGAAAAACACAGCATGAGAACTTTGGGAACTATATACAAGTATCAATAGCTGAATTGACCTAGCAGAAGAAACAATATCAAAGTTTGAAGACCACCTTGCTGAAATAAGGCATGCAGACGAGATTAGAGAAAAATAATAAAAAGGAATGAACAAAGCCTCCAAGAAATATGGGACTACATAAAAAGACCGAACCTATGATTGATTGGAGTACCTGAAGGAGACAGGGAGAATGGAAATGAGCTAGAAAACACACTTCAGGATATTATCCAGGAGAAATTCCCCAACATAGCAAGACAGGCCAACATGCAAATTCAGGAAATATGGGGACCACCACTAAGATACTCTATGAGAAGATCAACCCCAAGACACATAATCATCAGATTCTCCAAGGTCGAAATCAGGAAAAAATGTTAAGGGCAGTCAGAGAGAAAGGCCAGGTCACCTACAAAGGGAAGCCCATCAGACTAACAGTGGACCTTTCAGCAGAAACCCTATAAGTCAGAAGATATTGGGGGTCAATATTCAACATTCTTTTTTTTTTTTTTGAGATGGAGTCTTGCTCTGTCACCCAGGCCGGAGTGCAGTGGCGCGATCTCGGCTCACTGCAAGTTCCACCTCCCGGGTTCATGCCATTCTCCTGCCTCAGCCTCCTGAGTAGCTGAGACTACAGGCACCCACCACCATGCCTGGGTAATTTTTTGTATTTTTAGTAGAGACGGGGTTTCACCGTGTTAGCCAGGATGGTCTCGATCTCCTGACCTCGTGATCCACCCGCCTCGGCCTCCCAAAGTGTTGGGATTACAGGCATGAGCCACTGTGCCCAGCCAATATTCAACAATCTTAAAGAAAAAACACTCCATCCAGAATTTCATATCCAGCCAAATGAGCTTCATAAGTAAAGGAGAAATAAAATCCTTTTCAGACAAGCAAATGCTGAGGGATTTTGTCAACACCAGACCTGCCTTACAAGAGCTCCTGAAGGAAGCACTAAATACAGAAGGGAAAAACAGGTACCAACCACTGCAAAAACACACCAAAATATAAAGACCAATGACACTATGAAGAAAGTGCATCAAGCAGTGTGCAAAATAACCAGATAGTATCATGGTGACAGGATCAAATTCACACATAACAATATTAACTTTAAATGTAAATGAACTAAATGCCCCATTTAAAAGACACAGAATGGCAAATTGGATAAAGAGTCAAGACCCATTGGTGTGCTGTATTCAGGACACCCATCTCACAGGCAAAGACACACATATGCTCAAAATAAAAAGATGGAGGAAATTTTACCGAGCATATGGAAAGCATAAAAAACAGGGGTTGCAATCCTAGTCTCTGACAAAACAGACTTTAAACCAACAAAGATCAAAAAAGACAAAGAAGGGCATTACATAATGGTCAATGGATCAATTCAACAAGAAGAGCTAACTATCCTAAATATATATTCACCCAATACAGGAGCATCCAGATTCATAAAACAAGTTCTTAGAGACCTACAAAGAGACTTAGACTCCCACACAATAATAGTGGGAGACTTTAACACCCCACTATCAATAATAGATCATGAGACAGAAAATTGAAAAGGATATTCAAGACCTGAACTCAGCTCTGGATCAAATGGACCTAATAGACATCTACAGAACTCTCCACCCCAAAATTAACAGAATATACTTTCTTCTCAGTGCCACATAGCACTTATGCTAAAATCGACTACATAATTGGAAGAAAACACTCCTCAGCAAATGCAGAAAAAAAAACCTAAAATAATAACTAACAGACTCTCAGACCACAGCGCAATCAAATTAGAACTCAGTATTAAGAAACTCCCTCAAAACCATAAAACTACATAGAAATTGAACAACATGCTCCTAAATGACTCCTACGTAAATAATTAAGGCAGAAATCAAGAAATTCTTTGAAACCAATGAGAACAAAGAGACAACGTACCCGAATCTCTGGGACACAGCTAAAGCAGTGTGTAGAGGGAAATTTATAGCACTAAATGCCCACATCAGAAAGCTAGAAAGACCTCAAATAGACACCCTAACATCAAAATTAAATGAACTAGAGAAGCAAGAGCAAATTAATCCAGAAGCTAGCAGAAGGCAAGAAATACCTAAGATCAGAGCAGAACTGAAGGAGATAGAGACAAGAAAAAACCCTCCAAAAAAATCAATGAATACAGGAGCTGGCTTTTTGAAATTATTAACAAAATAGACCACTAGCTAAACTAATGTAGAAGAAAAGAGAGAAGAATCAAATAGACACAATAAAATATGATAATGGGGATATTACCAGTGACCCCACAGAAATACAAACTACCATCAGAGAATACTATAAACACTCCTACGCAAATAAACTAGAAAATCTAGAAGAAATGGATAAATTCCTGGACACATACACCCTCCCAAGCCAGGACACATACACCTAAATTCCTGGACACATACATCTTCCCAAGCCAGGAAGGAGTCAAATCTCTGAATAGACCAATAACAAGTTCTGAAATTGAGGCAGTAATTAATAGCTTAGCAACCAAAAAAAGCCCAGGACCAGACGTATTCACAGCTGAATTCTACCAGAGGAACAAAGAGGAGCTGGTACCATTCCTTCTGAAACCATTCCAAACAATTGAAAAGGAGGGACTCCTCCCTAACTTATTTTATGAAGCCAGCATCATCCTGATACCAAAACCTGGCAGAGACACAACAAAAAAAGAAAACTTCAGGCCATTTCAGTTCATGAAAACTTCATGAACATTGATGCAAAAATGAATGCAGCAGCACAGCAAAAAACTTATCCACTGCTATCAAGTTGGCTTCATCCCTGGGATGCAAGGCTAGTTCAACATATGCAAATCAATAAGTGTAATCCATCATATAAACAGAACCAAAGACAAAAACCACATGATTATCTCAATATAAGCAGAAAAGGCCTTTGATAAAATTTAACATTCCTTCATGTTAGAAATTCTCAATAAACTAGGTATTGATGGAACATATCTCAAAATAATAAGAACTATTTATGACAAACCCACAGCCAATATCATACTTAATGAGCAAAAGCTGGAAGCATTCCCTTTAAGAACCAGCACAAGACATGGATGCCCTCTATCACCACTCTTATTCAACATAGTATTGGAAGTTCTGGCCAGGGCTATCAGGCAAGAGAAAGAAAGAGTATTCAGACAGGAAGAGAGGAAGTCAAATTGTCTTTGTTTACAAATGACATGATTCCATATTTAGAAAACCCCATCATCTCAGCCCCAAAACTCCTTAGGCTGATAAGCAACTTCAGCAAAGTCTCGGGATACAAAATCAATGTGCAAACATCACAAGCATTCCTTTACACCAACAATAGACAAGCAGAGAGCCAAATCATGAATGAACTCCCATTCACAATTGCTACAAAGAGAATAAAATACCTGGGAATACCGCTAACAAGGGATGTGAAGGACCTCTTCAAGGAGAACTACAAACCACTGCTTAAAGAAATAAGAGAGGACACAAACAAATGGAAAAACATTCCATTCTCACAGATAGTAAGAATCAGTATCGTAAAAATGGCTATACTGCCCAAAGTAATTTATAGATTCAATGCTATTCCCATTAAACTACCACTGACATTCTTCACAGAATTAGAAAAAACTACTTTAAATTTCATATGGAATCAAAGAAGACCCCATATAGCCAAGACAATCCTAAGCAAAAAGAACAAAGCTGGAACCATCATGCTACCTGACTTCAAACTATACTACAAGGCTACAGTAATCAAAACAGCAAGGTACTGGTACCAAAACAGACATATAGACCAATGGAACAAAACAGAGACCTCAGAAATAAAACCACACATCTATGACCATCTGATCTTTGACAAACCTGACAAAAATGAGCAATGGGGAAAGGATCTCCTATTCAATAAATGGTGCTGGGAAAACTGGCTAGCCATATGCTGAAAACTGAAACTGGACCCTTCCTTACACCTTGTACAAAAATTAACTCAAAATGGACTAAAGACTTAAACTCAAAATCATAAAAACCCTAGAAGAAAACCTAGGCAGTACCATTCAGGACATAGTCATGGGCAAAGACTTCATGATGAAAATGCCCAAAGGAATTGCAACAAAAGCCAAAATTGACAAATGGGATCTAATTAAACTAAAGAGCTTCTGCACAGCAAAATAAACTATCATCAGGGTGAACAGGCAACCTACAGAATGGGAGAAAGTTTTTGCATTCTACCCATCTGATAAAGGTCCAACATCCAGAATTTACAAGGAACTTAAATAAAATTACAAGAAAAAAACAACTCCATCAAAAAGTGGGCAAAGGATATGAACAGACACTTCTCAAAAGAAGACATTTATGCAACCAAGAAACATATGAAAAAAAGCTCAACCTCACTGATCATTAGAGAAATGTAAATCAAAACCACAATCAGATACCATTTCACACCAGTCAGAATGGTAATTATTAAAAAGTCAAGAAACAATAGATGCTGGCAAGGCTGTGGAGAAATAAGAATCCTTTTACACTGTTGGTGAGAATGTAAATTATTTCAACCATTGTGGAAAGCAGTATGGCGATTCCCCAAGGATCTAGAACCAGAAATACCATTTGGCCCAGCAATCCCATTACTAGGTATATACCCAAAGGAATACATAGGAATATAAATCATTCTGCTATGAAGACACATGCACACATATGCATTACTATTTACAATAGCAAAGTCATGGAACCAACCCAAATGCCCATTAATGATAGACTGGATAAGAAAATGTGATACGTATACCCCATGGAATACTATGCAGCCATAAAAAGGAATGAGATCATGTCCTTTGCAGGGACATGGATGAAGCTGGAAGCCATCATCCTCAGCAAACTAACACAGGAACAGAAAACCAAACACTGCATCTTCTCACTCATAAGTGGGAGTTGAACAATGAGAACACATGGACACAGGGAGGGGAACATCACACACCAGGGCCTTTTCGGGGGTGTGGGGCAAGGGGAGGGAACTTCGAGGATGGGTCAGTAGGTGCAACAAACCACCATGGCACATGTATACCTATGTAACAAACCGCACATTCTGCACATGTATCCCAAAACTTAAAATAAAAAATATATATATTTTTCCATAACTAAATTTCTTTCTTGTGCCGTTATCCTATGAATGACATAAAATTAATGCTAGTCAAGTAGAATTTCCTCTGCCAGTTCAGAACATTTTCCCCATTCTCTTTCCATTTCTCTGAGATTGATTCTAAGATGCAAAAGGATCTCTAATATCCAGGCATGGGGGCAGGGTGGTGGTCAGATGACTTCTGACCACCACCCTGCCCCAATCTGTCCATGCTGGTATATCTTGCTGGTCCTTGCTCTCACTGGCCCCTAGTGTGAGACATCTATATAGCTAACACCCACCAATGACCTCAGTTCCATTTGGTCTTCAGTCTACACTCCTGAACTATTTCTCTGTCACCCTTGTGCTAACCTTGGGGCTCTGCAGGCCCAACAGCCTTCTCTACCTGTTTCTGTGACCATCTTAAAAACAGGGCAATGTTTTGGATGTTATCCATGTCATGTTGCCTAGATACTATGACCCGCACCATGATGTGGAAAAAATTGGAAACCTTACCCCTCTCCTAGATCCACCCAGGAACAAAGCAAAGTTGCAATGCACTCCTGTATCCTTAAGTGTGCGCATGGAGTTCTTTATTCCCTCATACCATCCTCTAACCATGGCTCTTTTTTTCTATTGTTTCCCCAAACTGCAGTAACATTATCTAGTCTAGGAAGGTGGGCTACCTGGATCTGTCCAATATTATTCCATGCCTCTCGTCTTTGGCATAGACTTCAGTGTTCTGATTTTGACATCAATTTTCTTACAACTCAAAACCTCTTTCTCTTACACTACTATCCTTGCCATGAATGTCAAGTGTGTGTTTGAGAATCTGAAACTGAACATTGACTTTTTTTGTTAGTTAAGGCCTTTACTTGTTATTCTTTGCACTGCTATAATGAACATACCTTGAGAACTGTTGGTACTACCTTCTCTGCTGTCTGACTAGGGAGCACATGGCAGGAAGTCACAAGAAAGACCAAGGAATAAAGCACCGATTAACACTTCAG
The DNA here is from genome assembly GCF_000001405.40 of Homo sapiens. Lineage (NCBI taxonomy): Eukaryota > Metazoa > Chordata > Mammalia > Primates > Hominidae > Homo > Homo sapiens. Next base: position 79,574,888 of record NC_000013.11, on the reverse strand, counting down.
GCTATCATCTCACTGCACTAAAGAAGTTTGTAATTATTCTTGATATTTTATTTATTTTTTTATTATACTTCAAGTTTTAGGGTACATGTGCACAACGTGCAGGTTAGTTACATATGTATACATGTGCCATGTTGGTGTGCTGCACCCAATAACTCGTCATTTAACATTAGGTATATCTCCTAATGCCATCCCTCCCCCCTCCCCCCCACCCCACAACAGGCCCCAGTGTGTGATGTTCCCCTTCCTGTGTCCGTGTGTTCTCATTGTTCTATTCCCACCTATGAGTGAGAACATGCGGTGTCTGGTTTTTTGTCCTTGCGATAGTTTGCTGAGAATGATGGTTTCCAGCTTCATCCATGTCCCTGCAAAGGACATGAGCTCATCATTTTTTATGGCTGCATAATATTCCATGGTGTATATGTGCCACATTTGCTTAATCCAGTCTATCATTGTTGGACATTTGGGTTGGTTCCAAGTCTTTGCTATTGTGAATAGTGCCGCAATAAACATACGTGTGCATGTGTCTTTATAGCAGCATGGTTTATAATCCTTTGGATATATACCCAGTAATGGGATGACTGGGTCAAATGGTATTTCTAGTTCTAGTTCCCTGAGGAATCACCACACTGACTTCCACAATGGTTGAACTAGTTTACAGTCCCATCAACAGTGTAAAAGTGTTCCTATTTCTCCACATCCTCTGCAGCACCTGTTGTTTCCTGACTTTTTAATGATCACCATTCTAACTGGTGTAACATGGTATCTCTTTGTGGTTTTGATTTGCATTTCTCTGATGGCCAGTGATGATGAGCATTTTTTCATGTGTCTTTTGGCTGCACAAATGTCTTCTTTTGAGAAGTGTCTGTTCATATCCTTTGCCCACTTGTTGATGGGGTTGTTTTTTTCTTGTAAATTTGTTTGAGTGCTTTGTAGATTCTGGATATTAGCCCTTTGTCAGATGAGTATATTGCAAAAATTTTCTCCCATTCTGTAGGTTGTCTGTTTACTCTGATGGCAGTTTCTTTTGCTGTGCAGAAGCTCTTTAGTTTAATTAGATCCCATTTGTCAATTTTGGCTTCTGTTGCCATTGCTTTTGGTGTTTTAGACATGAAGTCCTTGCCCATGCCCATGTCCTGAATGGTATTGCCTAAGTTTTCTTCTCAGGTTTTTATGGTTTTAGGTCTAACATTTAAGTCTTTAATCCATCCTGAATTAATTTTTGTATAAGGTTTTATTTTAAAATAAGTATGCCATTAAAATTATAAGATATTTTCCTTTAACTTACCATAAATGAGTGAAATGGAACATTTATTAATGATATATCAATGAACAGCAAACCTATCCATGAACCCTCTGATCCATCTCTAGTTGGGGGTTTTATTTTGACATATTTTAAGTCTTTATTAAAGGTAATGACATTAGTTAAAACATTTCTTAAACATATTTCCAGTGCAATGGAATATTTGAAAAGCATCTAAGGAACAATATCCAACCGTATCCAATGAAAACCCAACACCTCAATTTGACTTGGCCAATTTGCCCAACTTATATGAACATAGATCGGAACTCAAAGACACCCTGCCATCAGTCATAATCTTGGCTCTTTCTGTTGGAGAAACAATTGCAGTTTGTGCTCAGCACAGGCAGCTGAAAATTCTGAACTAAATTGGACCAGCCTCACTCAGGCTGTCAGCATCCAGCATTTCAAAGCAGTTTAATCCAGTCTCTCCACATTGTTTCTTTACCTATCTCCTCTGCCGGTTTCCACAGCCAGGTGACCTAAGCCAACGCAGCACATTAGTCCTTCCTTATAGAAAAACCTGATGGGAAAGAATAATGTCTACAACTTGTCCACTCATTTCTACTTGTAGTACTGCCAAATATGGGGGTTTGTTTCACTTTTGTTTTGCTCTAAATGTCCACAAATGGTTGGGCTATTCCTGGGCCTCCTCTAGTTCTATAATTCAATCTGTTAAGAGACCTAACACAGGAGGCAGCAATGAAAGATGAATCAAACCTCCCGTGAAATTCAGCTTGACTATCAGAGCCCTTGAGCTGACCAAGAGCCATGATTAGAATCTTCATTCTTCTGGCTACTGTTGAAAGCACTGACATCATATTCCATCCAGTGTCGTACAGGCCACGATTTACCACTGCCAGACAAGGAACATGCTCATCCTGCTATTTTCCTGAATAAGGCTACCATTAACATCTTTATATATTTTTTCTTCTGTTGAATTTTTTCCATGTGTTAAATTCCCATAAAGGAGATTGCAAAAATGATTACAAATGATAATTATGACAATTGTATAAAAATAGAATTTAAGATAAAACATTTAAGAAAAACAGAATGCAAGTTTACCTGAATAAATAACAATAACTGTGCGTGTGGTCAAGGGCCTGGAAGGAACATGCCAAAATGAACATTATACCAAGATAATGGGGTTATAAATAGTTTCCTTTTTCTTTAGAAAATTTATAAAATGATGTTAAATTTTGCTGGAATTTTTTAAAAGACCACTGAAGTTTTCTAATTAGAGGAGCACTTTAGTTTCTCATTGAAATGATTACTCTGATTCTGTAAAGAGCATATGGAAAAAGAATGACTTTTTTTTAGCGCATTATAGCTTTTTAATGACAAACTGTACTTGCATTGTTTGCTGGAGGTTTCAATATTTGAAAAGTCTCGAAGGAACAATAACAGTAAAAAAAAGAAACAGTACCCTTTTTTATTGTACTACTCTTCCTCATAAATATGCATATTCGGGGGGTTGTAATATCAGCTGATCTACTAATTAAACATAGATGAATAGTAATTTTTTATAGTTTAGTTCTTGTTTATTCAGATTTTAATTTAATTTACATTTTGTATATAAATTCCAGAGGAAAGATAAACAATAAGAAAGAAATAAAATGGGGATGGGGTTTAGTGGCTATTCTTTGTGTGGACAAGTGAATAAAACATTTTCTGTATTTGTAAAATTATCTTAAAAGACAGCTAAGAGCCATTAATACATGCTAGTTGCCTACTTTAAATCAAAATAGAACAGACCCCAATCCTTTCTTTCTTTGTTTCCAAGTATCATTATATGTCAGTTTATCTCTACACCTCAACAATTAGGTACGTTCTAGCACTTCATCAAGAGCTTTTGTTTTACATCAAAGACTTCCACATAGGCAAAAGCAGATACTGTTAAAAAACAAAAACAAACAAACAAACTAAACAATGTGCCTAATTCATTTCCCTCAGAAATCACAGCACAAAAATGCTGTGGACTGCTGTTTTGAGTCCTGTATTTTTTTATTTTTTATTTTTACTTTTTAAAAGTTTTTTTGGCTGATGAGTTTACTCTGTGTGTGTGTGTGTGTGTGTGTTCCCTCTGGTAAGATTCAATAGGGGAAAGTATAAGGAAAGGGAGGTTAGAAGAAAAAAGGCATTGAAGTTCTCTATCAACTTGTATTTGCCAATCTGGAAGGGAGTTTTACAAACAGGTCACTCATTAAAAGTTTATAGGATGAATTCAGGAAGGCTGATCCTGAGAACAACAGTGAAGGTTTTATAGAGCATTCTGGGTGGGCATAAGCATTGAGCAGAATCCAACGCCTACAGAAACCATTTTTTTTTTTAGATATTCATCTAGCCACTCAGTAAGCATTCAGTTAGTGCTTACCCTTAAGTAAACACATGTAATCTCTGTTTCTTCTTCTTAGGAATCAAGAGAAGAAAAACTTGGTGACACAATAATTAATGAAGTCATTTCTCCCTCATACCCCTTCTGCAGATGTGTGAATGCTGATGAATGCCAGACCTAGGGGATGGGGGGATGTAAAATAAGGAGTTAGTAGTGCTTTTTTTTCTTAAGAATGTCATCTTTTTCTATTTTAAAAAATGTTCAAAATTTACCCAAAACTCTGTGTAAAAATCAACAACAATGTACACTAGAGATAAAAATGTTTAAGACTTTTAAAACATTTTAAAATTTTACTAACATGGGCAACTAACATATCTACTTAGAAAAATACAAAAATCTTCTCCAGTAAAAGCTACAAATACTTCTACTTCTCTTGCTTTGTTTTCCAGATATTTCTAGAAAAAATTACAAGTATACAGGTCTCATCCTGTCCGGACACTTTTCACCTCATCACTGAAGGTCACTGAAGGTCACTACTTCATGGTTCTCTGGATGATCTTGCTTCCTTTCTTTCATTCTCCTTCCAATCTCTCATCATGAGGGCTCTTTTTATGTGTTCAGCACAGCATCAAGTTCAAAGCATAATAATCACAAGGTTGTACCTGCTTCTCTCTAGTAACATTCTTCAAAGACACTGAAACAAATAAATAACAAATGATTGTAATCAGCTGTATTTTTTTTTCTCCAATCTAAATCACCTGTGGTCAGGTACAGTGGCTCAAGCCTATAATCCCAACACTTTGGGAGGCCAAGGCAGGAGGATTGCTTCAGGCTGGGAGTTCAAGACCCCATCTCTACAAAAATTAATTAGCCAGGCGTGGTGGTGAACATCTATAGTCCTAGCAGCTCAGGAGGCTGAGGCAGGAGGATTCCTTGAGCCCAGGAATTGGAGGCTGCAGTGAGCTATGATTGCACCACTGCACTCCAGACTGGGTGATAAAACAAGACACTGTCTCCTCTCCTCCGCTATCCCCCCAAAAAATTTTAACAGTCACATGAGCATTTATGGATTTTTTTCCTGGTTTTAGATTTTTAGTAACTGCAAAACTGAAATCCTTGTTATGATGAGTAATTTCTGTAAAATCTGATCATTTCATATTTTAAGACTCTGAATGTTACTTAAACATTGTTTTTGCTGGTTTTCTCTAGCAAAGGAAGGGAGTTATTGCTTCAGTTACTACCTAATGGAGGTATAAGTCCCTGTTGTCAACTCAGCCTACTTTGATGCCTGAGAATGGGCACTCCTCATTACTGCTGGGGAGGGAAGGGCATTTCAGCTCCTTCAGTGGTCTCCACCCACACCAAAGAGGAGTTTATTTTGTTACTGCTGGGCATTGAGGAAGGTCCTGATTCCCCACTAGGCAGCCTCTGATACCTTATTTGGTCTTCTCACTCCAGCTGGGGGTGTAGGGTGCCTGTGACAACCTGGCAAGTGTGGAAGTCTAGGCTTCCCATTTCATTGGTGGAGGTATGGGTGGGACCAAAATTTTTCCTGTGTTATTGGTTGCAGTAGAGTAGCTATTGTCTAGAAGTTTTCCATCTGCTAGTCTGTCCCTTTCCTGGTCCTTTGCATAGAGAGGCCAGAGTTTTGCAGGGGGCCTTTTGTGTCTGTGCCCTTTGATATTTCTGGGCTGCTGGCTTCTTCAGTTCCATGTCTGGGATAACTCAGAAAACTCACGGAACTTCACCTGTGTTGTTTCTCATATCATAAGGCTCCCAGCCAATGTACTGCCTTCTCTCCACCTTTTGATGTCTTCCAGTGTTCATTTTTACATAATGTCCTGGGTCTTTAGTTGTACTTAGTGGGAAATAGGAAAAGTGTATCTACTTCATCCTCCTAGAAGCAGAAGTTCTCAGTTACTATCTTTTAACCTGTGTATACCTAAAACAAATGCTAAAGAAACTATCATTACTAGAGGTCCATATTTTAAAACTCCATTTAACTTCAAGCCCAAATATGTTGTTTTTCAGTCAGTTCTCACCAAATATGTGAAAGGTCATCCTAGGCAGGGCGGATCCTTCAGTTTGGTCATGTTTCTGGGACCAAAAAGTGTACTAAAGATACCAATAATTTTCTGCCCATTTCTACACAAGAATATGTTCCTACCAAGGCTCCGAATAAAAGCAGATATGACCCTGCTCTTTGCCCAGTGCCAGATGGCATTATGGATGAACACCACTGACCAAAGGAGTTGGAGGGTTTCTGGGAGAGAGGTACAGTGGATTCTATCTCCTGTGAATTTGAGGTTGGGACTTGAGAGACTTCATAAGTTTGTTTCTGTCAAGTTCATGCAGTCAGGTCAATAAAGGGCTGAGCCAGGCATTTGGAGGTGACTGTGATGAGCCAGGTACAAGTGGAATAAACTGAAGAAACCAACCTACAGAAGGAAAAAGAAGAAAGCAGACACCCAGAGAGCAGAAGAAATAAGAAACTCTGGAGTTCCAGAGAGTGTTTGTATGAATGTGTTTCTGACTTGGCTCCTCATCACTATTCAATTGCTAGTTCCATGTTCTTGTGCATCCAGGCTACATGCCCTGCCCTTGGGTTTCACGAGTCAGATACCCCTATAACCTTCCAATAGCTTGCTTATGTTTCCAATATGTGCAAAAGCTTCTCAGCCTTTGCACGGAGGATCTCTACGTAACATTCTGGGTGAGCATGGGCCTTTGATCTTGCTGCTGCACCTCTCCATATGGAGACTGTTTCTCATAATGGCTGTAGAGAGTCACTCCCTCCTAGTTTTCCTCATCTCTTCCTTTGCCCCACTTTCTCTATTGTTCTTCAACATAATTACGGAATTTTGAGAAATATTACATTGTTTCTGGGAAACAAAGACCAAAGGGAAATATAACTTGACAAGACTTGCCAAAAGGCCATCAGAGAAGATAAGCCAAAACCAGAAATAATCATAACACATGGTAGAAAACAAAGCATTTTACAAAAGAAGATCCAATAGACAGGTATGGAAGTTCAGAGGAGAGAGACACTCACTCAGATCTCCTCCTGCTTCACTAATCTGGAAGTCATGTTACTGCCAGCGTCAAGGACCCATTAGTATATGTCTGGCATAAATAATATAGACTGTAAACAGACACTGTGGAATTTACTGACTATTGGGCATCCTAAATCCAAATGACTGTGCAGACATTATAAGATCAATAAATTGATTGTATTGGTTCAAGTGGTAAAATTATCGGAAGGGACAGTGGGCTATTTTTGAGGGGATAACTTCTTAATTTCTTCTGAGCCTTCTACTGGCAAGCCAGGTGGTATCTGTTTGATGATCTTGGAAAAGAAAAAAAAATCCTTATCTAAAGGACTTCAAATATAAGAGTACAGATAGTCTTGTATTTGATTCATTTATATTGAAGGTGGCTAATGGGGCATCTAGCCAACAGCAGATCTAATGGGATGTATACTGTGAGTCACTAAGGATTCCAATACAGCACCCTTCTTTCCCACCTGAGATATGCATAAATAATTAAACAAAGCAGTGGCACATAGACAACCAAAATATTAACTTTGCTACTGATAAAAGTAGATTGGAAAAAATAGGTTAACTAGATGAACTCCAGAATTGGGCCCCCTTGTACCCTACCCAGGAAGTGGTGGACTGTGAGCCACTTCCCTGGGTGGGGGTACAGCAGAGCCGACCCTGAAGAACAGAGCATAGCAGCAACTCCTGTGAACTGTGAGCTCCCCAAAGGAAGAAGAAGTTGAGCAGAGCATATTCAGGTATTTACATCTCAAATTTACCCATCAAATAAATGACTCCCCTGGGGAAGAACTAATAAAGAGGTGGAGGAAAGTCAGGAGTTAGACTATCACATTCCCTCCACATGGAAGGAAACATCAAAAGTAAGAGGCGAACTTTTTCCCTCCCCACTTCCCAACAGTGTACTAAATCTAAAAAATAAAAATTAAAATTAACCTCTAGTTCACAGACAGGTAAGATATTAGCATTATGAAAAATGAGAAACATTTTGCTAGAATTCGAAGACCCAGAGATTTGACAATGCATATGAATGGCTAAAGTTAACATACTCATATTACAAGTAGGTTTTTTTCAATTCTCTTCCAGATTTTTCTTTTCCAGAGACAGTGTCTCTGTCACCCAGGCTGGAGTGCAGTGGCATGATCAGCACTCACTACAGCCTTGAACTCTTGGTCTTCTGCCAAGAGTTCAAGGTGAACTCCCGCCTTGGCCTCTCAAAGCCCTGGGATCACAGATGTGAGCACTGCACCAGACCTCTTCCAGATTTTTTAATATTTGAGCTTTACTCCTGACTTCAGGCAATGATACAAGAAAATGGTGAGAGGGAGGAGGGGAGAAGGAAGAAAGGCCAAGAAGGCAGTAGGAACAAAAGAAGAAAAGAGTTAACACCTACTGCTAGCAAATAGGTGTAAGTAGTCCCAGACTTTTTCTATGCATCTCAACTGCATTCTGCGGAGTTAAGAGAAGGTCGAATTCAGAATCTGGAACCTGAACAAGCAAGAGGTGTGTCTCTCTGTAGGACTTCTTTACATTTTTTTTTTAATTTTTAAGTTTAGGGGTACATGTGCAGGATGTGCAGCTTTGTTACATAGGTAAACGTGTCATAGGGGTTTGTTGTACAGATTATTTCATCACCCATGTATTAAGCCTAGTATCCACTAGTTATTTTTCCTGGTCCTCTCCCTCCTCCTACCCTCCACCCTCTCTTCGGCCACTGTGTGTTGTTCCCTCTATATGTTCATGTGTTCTCATAATTTAGTTCCCACTTATAAATGAGAACATGTGGTATGTGGTTTTCTGTTCCTGTGTTAAGTTTGCTAAGAATTATGGCCTCCAGCTCCATCTATGTCCCTACAAAGGACATGATCCTGTTCTTTTTTATGGCTGCATAGTATTCCATGGTGTATATATGTACCACATTTTCATTATGCAGCTTACCTTTAATGTTCAGAATTTAGGTTGATTCCATGTCTTTGCTATTGTGAATAGTGCTGCAATGAACATACATGTGCATGTGTCTTTATAATAGAGTGATGTGGGGTATATACTCAGTAACGGATTGCTAAGTCAAATGGTATTTCTGTTTCTAGACAATTCTTTGAGGAATCGTCAGGCTGTCTTCCACAATAGTTGAACTAATCTACACTCCCACCAACAGTGTAAAAGCATTCCTTTTTCTCCACAACCTCACCAACATCTGTTTTTTTTTTTAATTTTATAGTCAAAATAATAGCCATTCTGACTGGTGTGAGATGGTATCTCATTGTGGTTTTGATTTGCATTTCTCTAATAATCAGTAATGTTGAGCTTTTCTTCATATGATTGTTGGCCACATGTATGATTGCTGGCAGCATGAGAAGTGCCTGTTCATGTCCTTTGCCCACTTTTTAATTGGGTTGTTTTTGGCTTGTAAATTTAAGTTCCTTATAGATGCTGCATAGTTTGCAAAGTTTTCTTCCATTCTGTAGGTTGTCCATTTACTCTGCTGATAGTTTATTTGGCTGTGTAGAAGCTCTTTAGTTTAATTAGATACCATCTGTCAATTTTTGCTTCTGTTGCAATTGCTTTTGGCATCTTGCAATTGTTTTTGGCATCTTCGTTATGAAATCTTTCCCTGTGCCTATGTCCTGAACAGTATTAACTAGGTTTTCTTTTAGGGTTTTTATAGTTTTTAGTTTTACAGTTAGGTCTTTAATCCATCTTGAGTTGATTTTGTTATATGGTGGAAGAACGAGGTCCTGTTTCAATTTTCTGCATATGGTTAGACAGTTATCTCAGCACCATTTATTAAATATAGGGAACCCTTTCCCCATTGTCTGTTTTTGTCAGGTTTCTCAAAGATCAGATAGTTGTAGGTGTTTAATCTTATTTCCGAGTTCTCTATTCTGTTCCATTGGTCTATGTGTCTGTTCTTGTACCAGTACCATGCTGTTTTGGTTACTGTAGCCCTAAAGCATAGTTTGAAGTCAGGTAGCATGATGCCTCCAGCTTCGTTCTTTTTGCTTAGGATTGCTTTGGCTATTCAGGCTTTTTTTGGTCCCATATAAATTTTAAAAAGTTTTTTCTAGTTCTATGAAGAATGTCAGTGGTAGTTTAATGGGAATAGCATTGAATCTATAAATTGCTTTGGGCAGTATGGCCATTTTCACAATATTGATTCTTCCTATCCATGGCATGGAATGTTTTTCCATTTGTTTGTGTCATCTCTGATTTCTTTGAGCAGTGGTTTGTAGTTCACCTTGTAGAGGTCCTTCACTTCCCTTGTTAACTGACTTCCTAGGTATTTTCTTTCTGTGGGAATGATGAATGGGAGCTCATTCATGATTTGGCTCTCGGCTTAACTGTTGTTGGTGTATAGAAATGCTAGTGATTTTTGCACATTGATTTTGTATCCTGAGACTTTGCTAAAGTTGTTTATCAGCTTAAGAAGCTTTTGGGCTGACACCATGGGGTTTTCTAGATATAAGATCATGTCATCTGCAAGCAGGGATAGTTTCATTTCCTCTCTTCCTATCTGAATATACTTTATTTTTTTCTCTTGCCTGGTTGCCCTGGCCAATGCTATGTTGAATAGGAGTGATAAGAGAGGTCATCCTTGTCTTCAAGGATGTCAGTTTTCAAGGGGAATGCTTCCAACTTTTGCCCATTCAGTATGATATTGGCTGTGGGTTTGTCATATAATGGCTCTTATTATTTTGAGGTATGTTCCTTCAATAACTAGTTTATTGAGAGTTTTTAACATGAAGGGATGTTGAATTTTATCAAAAGCCTTTTCTGCATCTATTGAGATAATCATGTAGTTTTTGTCTTTAGTACTGTTTATGGGATAAATCACATTTATTGTTTTGTGTATGCTGAACCCACCCTCCATCCCAGAAATGAAGCCTACCTCATTGTGGTGGATAAGCTTTTTGACATGCTGCTGGATTTGGTTTACCAGTATTTTGTTGAGGATTTTTGCATTGATGTTCATCAGAGATACTGGCCTGAAGTTTTCTTTTTTGTTGTTGTACCTCTGCACAGTTTTGATATCAGGATGATGCTGGTCTCATAGAATGAGTTAGGGAGGAGTCCTTCCTTTTCAATTTTTTAGAATAGTTTCAGTAGGAATGGTACCAGCTCTTCTTTGGACATTTGGTAGAATTTAGTGTGAATCCATCTGGTCTTGGGCCTTTTTTGATTGGTAGGCTATTTATTACTGCCTCAATTTCAGAATGCATTATTGGTTTATTTAGGGATTACATTTCTTCCTGATTCAGTCTTGAGAGAGTGAATGTACCCAGGAATTTATCCATTTCTTCTGGATTTTTCTAGTTTATATGCATAGAGGTGTTTCTAATATTCTCTGATGATTGTTAGTATTTCTGTGGAGCCAGTAGTAATCATTTCTGATTGTGTTTATTTGAATCTTCTTTCTTCTTTATTAGTCTGGCTAGCAGTCTATCTATTTTATTAATTTTTTCAAAAAAAGTTCCTGGATTCATTGATCTTTTGAATTTTTTTGTTTTTTCTGTCTCTCTCCCCTTCAGTTCAGCTCTGATTTTGGTTATTTCTTGTGTTCTACTAGCTTTGGAATTTGTTTGCTCTTGGTTCTTCAGTTCTTTCAGTTGTGACGCTGTTAACTTGAGATCTTTCTAGCTTTTTGATGTGGGCATTTACTGCTATAAATTTCCCTCTTAACACTGCCTTAGATGTGTCCCAGAGATTCTGGTATGTTTTATCTTTGTTCTCATTAGTTTCAAAGAACTTCTTGATTTCTGCCTTATTTTCATTATTTATCCAAGAGTCATTCAGGAGCAGGTTGTTCAGTTTCCATTTAGTTTCATGGTTTTTAGTGAGCTTCCTAATCTTGAGTTCTAATTTGATTGTGCTGTGGTCTGACAGACTGTGTGTTATGATTCAGTTCTTATGCATTTGCTGAGGAGTGTTTTACTTCTGATGTGATCAGTTTTAGAGTACATGATGTGTGGTGATGAGAAGAATGTATATTCTGTTGTTTTAGGGTGAAGAGTTTTGTACATATCTATCAGGTCCACTTGATCCACAGCTGAGTTCAAGTCCTGAATATCTTTGTGAATTTTCTATCTCTTCTAATATTGTCAGTGGGGTGTTAAAGTTTCTCATTATTATTGTGTGGGAGTCTAAGTCTCTTTGTAGGTCTCTAAGAACTTGCTTTATGAGTCTGGGTGCTCCTGTATTGGGTGCACATATATTTAGGATAGTTAATTCTTCTTGTTGAATTGATCTCTTTACCATTATGTAATGCCCTTGTCTTTTTTCATCTTTGTTGATTTAAAGTCTATTTTGTCAGAAGCTAGGATTGCAACCCCTGCTTGTTTTCCATTTGTTGTTAAATTTTCCTCCATCCCTTTGAGTCTGTGTGTGTCTTTGCACATGAGATGACTCTCCTGAAGACAGCATAACTTGGGTCTTGGTTCTTTATCCAGCTTGCTACTCTGTGTCTTTTAATTGGGGCATTTAGCCCATTTACATTTAAGGTTAGTGTGTGGATTTCATCTTGTCATCATGATGCTAACTATAAGGTTATTTTGTAAACTTGTTTATGTTGTTGCTTTATAGTGTCACTGGTCTGTGTACCTCAGTGTGTTTTTATAGTGTCTGGTAACAGTTTTTCCTATCCATATTTAGTGCTTCCTACAGGAGCCCTTGTAAAGTAGGTGTGGTGGTAACAAATTCTTTCAGCATATGCTTGTCTGAAAAGGATCTTCTCTTTCATTTATGAAGCTAAGTTTGGCTGGATATGAAATTCTGGGTTGGGGTTTCTTTTCTTTAAGAATGTTGAATATTGGCCTCTAATCTCTTCTGATTTGTAGAATTTCCACTGAGAGGTTGGCTGTTAGTCTGATGGGCTTCCCTTTGTAGGTGACCTGGCCTTTCTCTCTGGCTGTTCTTAATGTTTTCTCTCATTTTGACCTTGGAGAATTTAAAGATTATGTGTCCTGGGGATGATCTTCTCATTGAGTATCTTACTGGGGTTCTCTGCATTTTCTGAATTTGAATAGTGATCAGTCTAGCTAGGTTGGGAAAGTTCTCCTGGACAATACCCTGAAATATGTTTCCCAAATTGGTTCCATTCTCTTCATCTCTTTCAGGTACCCTAATCAGTTGTAGATTCAGTCTCCTTACATAGTCCCATATTTCACTGAAGTTTTGTTCATTCCTTTACATTCTTTTTTCTCTATTCTTGTCTGCCTGTCTTATTTCAGAAAGTCTTCCAGCTCTGAAATTCTTTCCTCCACTTGGTGTCTTCTGGTATTAATACCTGTGATTGAATTGTGCAGTTCTTGTAATGTGTTTTTCAGCTCTATCAGGTTGGTTATGTTCTGTATACTATTTTGGCTGTCAGTTCCTGCATTGTTTTATCATTATTTTTAGCTTCCTTGCATTGGGTTACAACGTGCTCCGCTAGCTCAGTGAAGTTTGTTTTTATCCACATTCTGAAGTCTACTTCTGTCATTTCAGCCATCTCAACCTCAGCCCAGTTCTGAACCCTTGTTGGAGAGGTGTTGCTGTTATTTAGAAGAGGGCATTCTGGCTTTTTGAACTTTTAGCGGTTTTGCACTGATTCTTTCTCATATTTGTGGGCTTATCTACCTTCAATCTTTGAGGCTGCTGACCTTTGAATGGGATTTTTGGTTTTTTTATGTGTTTTTTTTTTTTTCTTTTAACAGTCTGGACACTTTTCCATAGGGCTGCTGTGGTTTGCTGGGGGATCCACTCCAGACCCTAGTTGACTCAGACTTTCCAGTACTTGGAGGTATTACCAGTGAATTACCTGGAGGTATTACCAGTGAATTACCTGGAGGTATTACCAGTGAATTACCTGGAGGTATTACCAGTGAAGGCTGTGATTCAGCAAAGATGGCAGCCTGCCCCTTCCTCTAGGAGCTCCATCCCAGCGGGGCACAAACCTGTTGCCAGCCTGAACACACCTGTAGGACGTGGCTGGAGGACTTGGCTGAGGTCCCACTCAATGCAGAAGAATGGATCAGGTCCCACTTAAAGAAGCAGTTTGGCCACATTTTGCTAGAGCAGCTGTGCTGTGCTGGGGGATCCCTTCCACACCCAGTCTGTTTGGACTCTCCAAAGCCTGCAGGCTAAAATGGCTGAGTCATCCAAATAGCAAAGATGGTGGCCTGCTCCTCCCCCAAGAAGCTCTGTCCTGTCTCAGGTAAGTGCTACACTGTTGCCAGTGGCTGGCTGGAATTCCAAGCCAGTCAGTCTTTTCTTGTGAGGTACCATGGGAGTGGGACCCACAGACCAACACTGCTCAGCCCCCTGGATTCAGCCCCCTTCCTAGGGGTATGTACGGACCTCCTGCTTTGCCTGAGTTGCAGTCACCTTTGTCAGGAATCTCAGATCCCAAGTATGTAAAGCTCTTGGATCTCTGTGCGTGCCTGAGTAGCTGTTTTGTTGAGACTCGATGCAGCTCTATGTGTCAGACCCAAGGCCCTGGTGAAATGGGTTCATGAAGGGATCTCCTGATCTGAGGGTTGCAAAGATCCATGGGAAAAGCATGGGTTCCTGAGGTTGCACACTCACTCACTGTTTCCCTGGGCCAGGGATTGGGGATCTCTTGATTTCATGTCACTCCTGAGTGGGCCATCACTCTATCTTGCTTTTCTCCATTCTCCATGGGTGGAGCCATTTCCCTGATCAGTCCCAATGCGCGTACTTGGATGTTTCAGTTAATGGTGCTGTATGTACTCACCCCTTTCACTCCCTTCTGTGAGAATCACACATTGTAGCTGCTTCTGGTCAGCCATCTTGCCTCACTCCTGCCATATTTTCTTTAACTCTTCTCTAAAAACCCAACATTATGTATTTGGGAGCTGTACTACCATAAAAGGGAGTGCTGATTTCACCCAGCCATTCTGATTTGTTTTTCCAAGCAGATATTTGAAAATGGCACCAGCTTTCCCAGCCAGGAAGGTGGCCAAAAAAAGAAAAAAGGGAAGGGAAGGGAAAAGGAAGGGGGAAGGGGGAAGTGGAGGGGAAGGGAAGGGAAGGGGAAAAAAGAAAATGGCACCTGCTTCCCTTGGCAAAGTTTTGTTGGTGGTCAATGTGGACAGCTCGGAATGACCTTTGAGATAGTTGTTGAAATCATGGCTGCTGACATTTTCACTAAGCCATTCTCTAGAAGCGACTGGGAAGTACTGGGTTGCCAACTGGGACACAATTGGAGAATAAAGGGGCGACAGTCAAGCAGATATAAACCCATTACTTAAACTACTTACACACTGCCACAGTAGTGAGTTGATTGAAAATCAAACCATGCGTGAGGAGTCTGGGTGGTAACCCCTGTGGGATGGTAAGACTTGCAACTCTTTTTTTTTTTCATGTTGGGGCTTGTGAAGGCCTAAGCAGCTCTCCTGTAAATTCTACAGAACAGAGGTTACTGTAAGCACTTTTAAAAATAAGGTGCAAGATTTTGCACATCATTGTGAGCCATTGGCTTAGCCACTGAGGATCTTACTTACTTCAGTCTTGTTAAGAGCAACCCAAACTGTTTATCACTACACAGTACAGAGAACTCAAACTGTGTATCTGCGTCCCACTTCACCTCCAGATATCATACTGGCATTCAGGCAGGAAAAATTTGGGAAGAAGATAGAAGGGTGTGGTGGTTAATTTTATGTGTCAACTTGACTGAGGTAAGGGATGCCCAGACAGCTGATTAAACATTATTCCAGGTGTGTCTGTGAGGGTGTTTCCGGAAAAGATTAACATTTCAAACAGTAGACTGAGTAAAGAAGATCTGGCTTCACCTATGTGGGTGTGCATCTTCCAATCCATTGAGAGCCAAAATAGCACAAAAATATGGAAGAGGAGTGAATTATCTCTCTTTTCTTGAGCTGGGACAATTCATGTTTGCCTGCCCTTATACACTGGAGCTCCTGGTTGTTGGGCCTTTGGACTCCAGACTTACACCATTTCTTCACCCCACTCCCTCCCACCTTCCAACTGGGACTGGGAGTTACACCATAGGCTCTCCTGGTTCTCAGCCCTTCTGACTCCTGACTCAGTGAATTACATCTCCAGTTTTCCTGGTTCTCCAGTTTGCAGACTGCAAATGGGAGGACTTCTCAGCCACCATAATCAGATAAGCCAATTCCGATAATAAATACCTATACAGATGGATCTATTGACCATACATATATACATACATACACAGATCCTATTGGTTCTGTTTCTCTGGAGAACACTAATACAGAGGGATTCCAAATGTCTGTAGGTTTAGTCAGAGAACAGTGATTGCCATATCCTGGGACACACTGGTCCTAAAACAAAGGGAATTCACTTTAAGCCCAGCACCAATTATTTATTTATTTATTTATTTATTTATTTTATTTTATTTTTTGAGAGGGAGTCTCACTCTGTCACCCAGGCTGCAGTGCAGTGGTGTGATTTTGGCTCACTGCAACCTCTGCCTCCTGGGTTCAAGTGGTTCTCCTGCCTCAGCCTCCCAAGTGGCTAAGATTACAGGCGCCCATTACCACACCCAGCTAATTTTTGTATTTTTAGTAGAGACGGGGTTTCACCACGTTGGCCAGGCTGGTCTCGATCTCCTGACCTCATGTGATCCACCTGCCTTGGCCTCCCAAAGTGCTGGGATTACAGGCGTGAGCTACCACGCCCAGCCTAAACCCAGCATCATTTTAGTCTTCTCTCAGCCTACCCAGGCTGGACTTTCTTGTCAACTCTGATCTTTTCCCTCCAAATGACCTCATTTCAGAGAACTTCTCACCAAATGGAGTTGTAAGGTGTTCATAAAATAGCACATTTACCTGCTGCATGTATCAGATCCTGGAACAGTTCAGCTCCCAACGGCCTTGAAACCACAAGTCATTCTTCATCTAGAGACTAAAGGACCAAGAAAATAAACCTTGGTTTCTCAGTAAATAAACTATGTTTGCAATAAAGAAACACTACTCTCCCCTGAGAGTGGTATCCTATAATTACAAAGCAAGAGGTACACTTTTTCAGACATAACTGGGATCCTCTCACCTTCATAACCAGAAGTTATGCTGACATCATAGAGCACAGGCTCATCCTAGTAGAAAAATCTACACAGAAAACATCTGTAAGAGCGTGTAATAAATTGTTAATAGTGGTTACTTCTAGAGAGGGAGATGAAGTTGGGAGATATGTGAAAAAGATGTTCGCAATTATTCTACTTACTTCTTGCACAGTGCATTTGGAGAAAAGGAAGTCTGTACCACTGTGGACACCTGCAGTGGTATCTGCAGTGGTAAAGTGAGTGGCTCACAATGATGTGGAAAATCTTGATCTTTTAAAGGTGTTTAGTATGTGCTAGGCCCATTGGAGGCTATGACTCTACACCTCACACAGATCCTGCCCTCAAGCAGAAGTGGTGAGGCATGAATGCAAAGTACTGAGATACACAGTAGAAAGCGGTTTAATAAAGAGCCTCAGAAGAACTGTTATGAGAATTGGAAAGATAATTCCTTCCTTCTGAGGAGAATCAAGGAAGGCAGAGAACATCATGCAAGAGATGGAAAAATATGAGAATGTATGAAATGCTTAAACACAGTGCACACTTCTACTTATTCTTTAACATCTAGTTCCAATGTCACCTCTGCAGTGAAGACTGCCCTTTTTCTCCTGGAGTTCAATTGCTCTGACCCATGATTTTTGTTCCTACCTGAATACTAGCCAATTTTCCTGTTTATAAATCTTCCTCTATTAGACACTAAGTTAAAGGCCAGAAGGCATTTTATATATGCCAGTACATACACACAGCCTCACTCTGGCATCCATCCTATCCAACCATTCATTAAATGTATTGAGCTTTGTGCTTAGGTGTTGTGGGGCGGGGCGGGGGGGGGGGCAGTGACATGCAAAATTGAGTAAGATATAATATCTACCATTGAGGATAGTAACCTAAAAATTAATACTCCCAGCACTGTCTCATAAGTACCTTGACAGAAATCACACATAGGGCTATGGAAACCAAGATGATCAAAATTAAAGAGGATGAGAGAAAAAGGTTTCCTAAAAGAGATAGCAATTAAGGTTTTTGGTTTTTTTTGTTGTTGTTGTTGTTTTTTCAAAGAAGGTGGAAAGAGGAATAGAGTAAAAGATGGATTTTATGTGGTAGTAACAGCATCATCTCTTCAAGAACTATTAACAGGCATTCGAAAATATTTCAATGATCCAAAGGACGATCAGGGTAGAGTCTGGGGAATTTGATTCCCATCTAAGTATTGCCTTTTTGACATAACTGCCATTTTTAAAAATAAACCCAAGGTTGACCTATGATTGTAAGAGAAAGCTGGTGAAGTAATTTATCCTAGAATCAGAAAGAACATGCCCACCAACTTATTTCCTGATCACTTCTAACAAGGATTTCAGTGCAGTGGCTCTTTGAGCAAAATAAACATGTCACTAGTTATAAAGTAGTATCATCTAAATCAATTCAGATTAAAAATCTGAGGGACCCTTTTGCCTGGAGAGATCTGTGCAAACTTCCACTTTTCTTACCAGCTAGAATACTTTACTGCTTGGTAAACAAGCAACTGCCTTCCCCTCTTCACCTAATTGCGTCCCTTAAGATCAAATGTCATCTAGGTAACTTTTGCTTTAATTCCACTTGCAGGAGAGAAGACTTAAGGAGCAAATACGAAGTTAATTAGGGAGTAGTAAAGTGGTTCTTTGCAAGCATGAAGAGATAGAAAACCCCTAAGATTCCGTGAACTGGAAGTATTGCTTTGGTTTGCTATAACCTCCGCTGTTAAAGGAGTAATACCCCATATATTCTCTGTTTAGGTGTTGATTTTTTTTTTAAATAATAGTTTCTACTAAAACAAAGAGAATTTTTTTAAAAGCAAGTAACTCAATCTCTCAAAACAAAAATAATGAAATATAAGCTCAAAACATTAAAAAAGTAAAAGAAGCAAATATTCTGAGCTTAAACTTTAAAAACATATTTTTAAAAGTATGAAATGAGTTTTCTATTTTTCTTAATTACTTGCTGGAAATTTTCACGTTAGGTATTATGTCCCAAATAAGAATTCAAACCCATAAGCAGGTCTGACGTAGGTGACCAATGATACTTTACAAAGTAGAAATGAACATAAATTATTTTCAAAAAGATGATATTTTGTTTATTAAAATTAAACCACAATCTGTCTCCTGACATACAAATAACTGAGAAGTTAAAAGATGTTGCAACCCCAACCTAATTTCACAAGTGTTGTTTTCATCTCCAATCTTGAAAGGTTTGTCACATAAACAGTTTAGTGAGGTCACAGTCATGATAATATGCGAATCTTAAACTGATTTTGAAAAGGATGCATCACAGGTTCACACTTCCACATCTATACAACTTTATTAACAAGTAAAATACATGCCAGCATGTTTTATATATGGGCAAGGACATTCCTATGATAATGAATGGCACATTATCATCTAACAATTGACCTTTATCAAATATATGTTTTCATATGACTATTTGAAGAATTAAATAATAAACAACTAATAAATGCTAAAATAACATTTAACAGCAGTTAAAAATATAAAAGCCATTCAGTTTAGTATTTACGATAAGCTGGAATCATTCAAATACAACTATTAAAAAAAATACTATTCCTCTTCTACAGGCCAAATGGTTCATTAGAAAACACTGTGGCAATAATAACTGGCTCCTGCCCTTACCCCAGTTCCATCCCTCAAAGGGCAGTGGAGCTAAGGTAGTTGCTTCTTGGTACAGTCTACAATTATACACAGGATGATCATATAACTTATCCTCCAAATTAGAACACTTTTGAGAGTACGATGAGGCACTATTAAGCTGAGAAAACAGGAATAACCAGGACTCTTTTGAGCAAACTAAGGATATATATTACCTTAGTTAAGTATGGTATCACATTCACTATCATTACTTTTTGCACTTCTTGAAATAGTACATACTAGATGAAAAAAATTATATTTAATGAAGGAACTCTGAATTTTTCTCCAATTGGATATTTTGAACTCCACTTTTCCTGTTAGGAGAGGTTTTACTGGAAATAATATTGTTTTAGCAGGTAAAAATCTGTGAACAACTTAGAAGGCATGTCTAAAATGAAATATATCTTATAGACTCAAAATAGGCTAAAGATTAGTATTTTTTCCATTAAGCAGAGATTTTCATTTTAACCAAATGTAATGGGATTTGTATTTTAATCTAAGTTTCTAAAATCTGTCCTGCATACACTATATAGAAAAGTGTTGTTTTTGCCTTAAAATTCAGTTTATTGCATAAATACATGAAAATGGATTATCCTAGCCATGACTAGCTTATTCATTTACAATAGAAATAATTTGAAATTTTTTTGTATTAACTTCCAATCCCCAGTTCACACTCAAAAATGTTTAGATACCCTAACAAGAGTTTTGATTTTTCAATCTTTAAGGCAGAGTGCAAAGATGATCAAGCATCCCCAAAACACAACAGCAGCTGTTCAAGCTCACAGGAAATGAAGTATGCAGGATTTTATATATCTGAAGGGAACATTAAGTTCTTGAAAATAACATTCTGATTCCCCTGCTTACATGATGAGATTTAAGGCTACCATTGAATTATGCCAATTATAGAGGATTCAGTAATATGTATACTTGAACCTTACAGATTTGGGGGGAAAAGTCAAAACAAAAAGTGAAGTTTTGATGCTGGATCAAAAGTAACATGTATCCATATTCAGAAAACAAGCACATATACCATAAAAGCTAAAATGAAATTTTAGTAAGTCGATGTTTGATAGCTAAGCTTCCTAGTAATTATTTAATTACCATGTAGCAAAGCTTAATTTCATTTAAAAATTATTGAAAGAATAAAGTACAGGTCTATAAGAAATTAATATGAAAGAGATCCAGCATGAGTTTGAATATGTTATTAGTACAGTTTAATTTTAATTAACTTCCAAATTAGGCAACTAAACTAAATATTTTTTCTTTACCCCATGCTACTGTCTTACTTCAAGGGGTGTAACACAGGTACTTTAATACAACAATAAAAATTTTAATATAACAATAAAAATTCTACGCAGGAAAGTAAACTGAATGAGACAAAACAAAAAATAGGCTATATTAGCAAAACAAAACTGTTTTATTTATCAAAGACAATGAAAAAATTAGAAAATACAGAAGAGGTTATAAAGCATAATAAATTTTATTTTTTGGAAATGGAAAAATGTCCCTGAATAGTTAGATGTACCTTTTAGTAGTAATGTCTAATAATAAATAAGAAATCAATTTTATAAGGTCCATATAGCTGTATTAAATAATTTTTAAGTTTAAAAGATAAAATACCATCATTTTAAATGTTGGTATTCAAAACCAAAGATATAACCGAAAGGAAAAACAGATGAGACATAAAATGATTTGCAAGATGGGAAATATAGTAGTTTATGAATGTAAATTAAATTCCAGTTATAATAGTGGCTACACACTCTCACTACACACACAGACCCCACAGTCCTATATGCCACAAACACATTTCCATAACTTGAAAATGAGTATTTTGCATATCTCAGTTCAGGATATGTTTTTTACAAGTTAATCCTAAAGTCATAAAGCAAGAAGCTATTCATAGTACAAGATTTTATTTGCTAAGCTTTACAAATTAAACTCTAAAAAATTATTACAATGATACTGAAAGATATTTTATTGGCCTTTTAAAAGACAAACACAAATGAGAATTATCTTATTTAGAAAATTAACTTTGAAAATTATCTTAAATGAAATAAATATAATATCTAATACAATCTCTTCCTGCAAGATCTCTTAAGATGGGCAATCCTAAAAATGCAGCTTCCCATCTGAAAATCCCTAAAACTAGTATGTCCCTTAAAATAAAATTTATTTTTCTTATAAAGGACATTTGGTATTCCCACATTTTCTTA
Source organism: Homo sapiens (assembly GCF_000001405.40). Lineage (NCBI taxonomy): Eukaryota > Metazoa > Chordata > Mammalia > Primates > Hominidae > Homo > Homo sapiens. The sequence continues at coordinate 79,553,273 of NC_000013.11, read as the reverse complement.
AAATTTGTCCTAAAACAAATTCTATCTTTAACACTCACGTTTCTAAATATATATATGTGTGTGTGTATATATATGTGTATACATATACACATATATATTTAGTTCACTTAATTTAAAATTAGTGAAAGCTATCTGGACACAATTTCTAAGAAAACATTGCAGAAAGTAAGTTATGCATGGTTATTTACAGGAAGAGTTTTCCTAAATAATAATGTAAATATCATGTTCAAAAATCTGACAAATCCTTTCTAATAATCAGCACTGCAGGTTTCAATACACCTTATATAACAAAAGATGTTTCATGTGTAGAACTGCCAGATGAGTCTAAGAGCCAGAAACTAAATCATTTGACATGGTTAAGAATTTCATTTTTATTATACTAAATGTCAGGTCAGAAGTCAATGGCATTTACAAGCTGGAAGACTGTTTATCCACTCAACTCTTTCAATTATATCAAACACTGATTAACCAAATGTGACTGGACTTAACTGCTACAACTTTATGGTTTCTATCAAGTATATGCAAATATCTTAAATGGGCACATATGCATATGTGCAAAACAAATGAAATATAGATACTTAAAGAATGAACAGAAATGGCTTGTAAGCAAAAACCACCCTGCCATTCAATTTCGAAACTCCGTCTTTTCTTCACTAATTTGTCTTCTGTTATTAGTAGTCTTCTATTAAAGTTGTAGGTTTACAGATGATCTGGAAATTTCACATTGGTATAAGAAAGGAATGTCGGGTTGATGCAGTCTGGAGACAAAGAAGGAATTAGTCTTAAAATGTATTAAGTTGTCTTTATCTAAATCATAGTATAATACAACACATTTTATAGAAGAATTATATTAAGTATATAATATTCTCTTCATTAAAGTCTACATATCAGAATACATTCTAAAGTGTAAGGCTTCTATAGCAGATTTTCATCTAGAAAATATTTGCATTGTATTTTAGACTCTTCAAAATGCATAGAAGACAATCACACAAATTAGTAAAACAGCAAAATTACTTTGCCTTTTAATCTTATTATTAATACTGACAAATTCTTAATGCCAGTGTCTGCAAAGATATTTTGCTTGTTAAAATAAAAAAGCGACTTCTTTGGGAGTGGTTGGGGGAGACTTTAGTAGAACACTTAAAATGATACTTTAACATGATCTAGAAATACAAATGTATTCATAGTACTCTAGCAGAAATAAGTAAATTATATAAGCTTATGTATAACTTATATAAATGATAAAATGTAAGCAACCAAATCACAAAGCATGCAGTTTATTTATTTGAAAAAAGAATACTTAATAAACTTGAAACACTTTGTTCCTTATAGTCCTGCATTCAGAAGTTAAGTACTAGTAGACATTTTGGTAATAGAGTTCAAATGCTTTATAAGTTTACCTTATTTATAGGTATAAAGTACATGGTACTTGCTTTAAAAAGTAGAATAGGGAGTATGAGGTTACTTTATGTGAAGATACTCCCGCTGAACAATAAATAAATACTATTACTATACCCACGACCTCCAGAAATTCACTGGATAACCAGTAAGACAACTTCTACTCATTTCTTCATATTCCTACTTATTCAAGTTGTAGCCTTCATAGTTGATAAAAAATCAGCACACATTAAGAAAACAATAACAGAACTATTTTCTTCACATGACTTTTATTCCTTAATCCAGACTGTTAAAAGGACTGCAAGACAAATTGTTTTTCAATCAGATTTTTTTCTCCACCAGATGTCTATGTGAATTTCATATTGTTTTAGACAAAAATGCTCATTCCTTCGGTCTAAGTACTATGTCATATTTTGTTTTTTCAAGCCTTCAAATTTTGTGCTGGTGGTTACTTCATATACATTCTATGGTTAATCTTTAAAGAGAAGTTTTAAAAGTCTGATTCAAAATTTCAGTTCACTCGCTATGTATTTTAAAAATTAAAATTTATGAAATTCAATTTTAAAAATCTAAAAGTTATCTAAAAAGGTCTATGACTTATCAAATTTCAATAAGCTGACTGTTAGCAGTATTAAAAAATATTAAATATGCTAACAGTAAAAATCATGAATACACATTAGGCATTTAATATGTATCTGGCAAATTTGAATACATAAAGGGAATAGGCAGAGTTCACAGATTAATATTTCTTACCTCTACAATAAGAAGAAATACCTTGTTCTATGAGCAGCTGCCATACTTTCAGACATGTTTCTGACTTTTAGATAATTAACAAATCCTCTGAAGAAAAGGAGCAGGCCTGAGAAGGTTGAAATAATATGGATATACTATGTTTTTATACAGAAAAGGGCAAGATAAATTTAAAGTAGACAATTATAAACAAGATCCTCTTGGCTTAAGGAATTTTACTTGCAGACTTCCATTCATTTCTGTAATATATTTTACACTATAAGGATAAACTCTGTCACAAGGAAATACAATTTTTCAATTTGTTAAGCCTAGATGTACCAAAATTAAAGCAAATCTAGCTATAAAAATCCAGAATTACATAAAAATATACATTTAAGTGATTTTCTTCAATAGTAAAGTTACCTGACGCACTTAAACTGATTCAACTCATAAAAACCCCATTGAACCCATGGGCTCAATCTTTTCAATTAATATAACTACTGGGTGAACTAAGACATATTTATTTATATAAAGTAGATAAAAAGGAAATATATACATGAGGTTACTAACAATTATGAGGAAAAAAACAATAAGCCTGTATAGTAATATCAAGTGCCTGTCATCTGTGAAATCTGTATTTGAAGATACGTGCATTATGTACATATTTTTAATTATGAGTTCTTATTTTGAAGTAATAATAAAAAACTAACTTATAATAAAAAATTAAGATGAGTTAGAAAAGACAACTTGGAAGACAGTCACTCTAATGATTTAGATTATTTGGGATACATCTTATATCTACCTCAGTTTTCTCCTTTGTAAAGTAGTATTTTAAAATAACAACCACAAATATATTTAATAATTTAAAAAGCAATACCTGTAAAATTCTCTAAAGTTTCACATAAAAAATATTAGATAAGTATAAAACATTACCATTACTAGTATAAGCCTTTGAAATACTTAAGCATATGATTCTTAGGGAAACATTTATTAACTCCAGCAAATTTTTAACCAGGAAAACAGGGTGGGGGGGATCCAAAAACAAAAACAGAAGATATCTACTGTATGTGTATGACTTTCCTCACCAGGAGGAAAAGGAGTTTGTGAATTTAAAATATGAAGTCTCAAACTAAATTTGTACCCCAACTGCAAGACAGTAATCAAATCACTAAAAACAAGAAGCATGTGTGTAGTAAATTGGAGAGGAAAGACAGAAGAGAGATACAAATGATGACTTAAATGGTATAAATTACAGCTAAACCCAATCGCATCTGCTTCCCATATCCTAACTCCCTCCTTTTGGGACTCCTTCTGAATTCCACCCTCATGCCCTTCCAGATGCTGTTCAAAGATAATAATACTGTTATCCAAATGTAAAAATATTATTGAAAAATGTAAACCAACTTATTTGTGGGATCCCTTCCTTTGTCTCTAAAGCTGCTGTTTTCTAACACACATTTTACTTCTCAGGCATTTTCTAAAAGAAGCCACCCAGTTCATACCTAAAAACCAATCGCTCAGTGGCTACTGTTTCTCAGCATTCTACAAAGTGCTCAACATTCTTTTCAGCATATGTGAGAGCAACATTTTTATCACTGATTACATTTTCACATTCCCCTAAATAAATAAACACTAGATTATGGCTCTGAAGTGGAACTGGCATTGTCCTCTGTATTCTACTCTGCCCCACACTAACCTCCTTAAGATTCCTCCAATCTCTAAATAATATATATATACACACAAATGTACTCATTTAATATGCTTAAATACTTAATAGACTTTATAAACCTTCTCACTTTTAGGTAAGAAACTCAATAAAGAACACGGCATTCAGGCAGTTAGAACACATAATATAAAACTGGCTTCACCTCCAGATGCATCTCAACAAAGTCACAACACTAAAATAATTTCAATATAGCTATTAAAGAATTAAGTGACCTTATCTGACTAACAATAATTTGTTTCCCAAAAGATCCTAAAGATCCAACAGTATGACTAAATAAAAACTCAGAGAGAAGACTGCCACCTACTGAAATGCTGTTATTTTCTGGTAAAATTCTGAGTGAAACATGGGCTTTTACTCTTAACTAGAAACAAAAGGTATTCCTTATGTCAGCAAATACATCTGAAATGTGGATTAAAGATATAATGTGATTTAATGATTAACTTAATTATCTCACATTGAAGGTAAAAAACAAAAGGGAACAAAAATTGAAAATCCATAAAATTCCATCAATATTAATAAAAAGACACGTCTTATAGGAAGACAACTCAACAGAAGCACTGTGATCATTAGGCATAAAGCCTTTCCTTATGCCTGGCTGATTAATGATTAATTCAAGGCACATTTCAAAAGCATAAAGAATGTTTCCATGATCAAAAAATAAGAGAACAGATAGAACAACCAAACTATCCAACTCTCAAATTTCCTAAGATCATTAAAAGAAGTCATTTGTGTATGTTTTCTGAGATAAATGCTAAAGACAATTTTTTATCACGTTGTTATTTTAAAATTTTTTAGCATTCAATTATCATCCCGCCACTGACTCTTTACACTGATAGCCTCTGGATTTTAAATCTAAGAAATCTGTAGTGCTATATAGAATAGTTTAAAAACGTGAGATGATGTGTTTGAATATGAGAATTTTACAGAAGAAAAATAATTTCCACATAAATTGCAACACAGTTTATTTACATCTTACAGTTTTTGGAAATATCCAAGTTAAACTAAATGCATTAAGAATAAACTTACCAAGTACAAGAAATATCCACCAAAGCCAATACTGTCCATTGAAATATCCAGTAAAATAATCAGAAAACTATGGAGTGAACATAAATATATTAACCGAATTCATACACCTGAATTTGAAAATCATAAATTATCTTCAGTTTCATAATGATTTACTTCAAATAATCTTTAACACTTAAAAATGGCACAAAGGAAAAATAAAAACACTTAATGGCATACACAGCATACACATATATAAATTATTTGAGAAAAAATCATCTTATGCAATAGCAAAAAAAAAATTGGAGTATTTTTAGAAACAAAAACCAGTTTCAAACTCCCCGCAAGAAACAGTAAATGCTGTATGTCTGAATCACACATTTTCTTATTAGAAATTTCACGTCAGTCCTTTTTTCATAATCTCTCAAAACCACAACTACCATCCCAAACACACTACAGCAACCCGCTGCTTCAGATATTAACACCAAAAGCCACATTAGTTTAATCTTATCAGATGGGGGTGTTCTGCTGACCTCCAAAAGAAGAGCTTTTGACCTTCTGTACACCCCCTACTGTTAATCACTGCCAAAAATACTAGGTGCATAAAGACCCCCATTAGAGTCTTTTTATTTTCAAACTAGATGCTCTAGCATTCAGTTCCCAACAGAGAGCTGAGAACAGCTAAATGAACCTTAAAGTGGCATTTCAACAGTTCCTATTAGTGGCCATGGTAGACAGTTTTATATTCTCCGTGGTGTGGGAATATGAACAGGCAGATGGAAGGCAGAATTTGATGATATTGGACACAGTTATCCTTTCCTTGATTAGACTCTAGACATCACACTTCATTAATTTTAAAAGGTTTTTTAAAAAATCAATCTAATTTTCTTCAGTTACTTCAGATAACTTTAGCACCTAAAACAATGCCTCAAATGATTACTTTTTAAAAAGTGTTTAATATAACCTACTCTAAAACTGTTAAAAATTAGCTTGTGTTTACCCACCCTGTTTCCACTGGTCTGCAAACTGAATCTGATGTAACTAAAAATGATTCCACTAAATGCAGACTTGCTCTCAAATCTAATACTAACTAAAAGTATTTGTAACTTTATAAGTAAAGATTTCCAATTATTTGTTGGTAATTTCTATATAAGCTTAAAAATCCTAGGCTGTGGCAAAAATAAAAAATGCTTACAAATTGTAAATAATGTTATCATTTAGTAAGCATATCAAATAAAGATTATCTAAGTCTGTTTTTTATAGCCTTTTAAGTATTTTCTCAGGAAGTATTTCCAATTAATAAATAAACCATTTATAGTAATTTCAGTATTTATAGTAATTTCATATTTTAAATTTTATAGTAATTTTTTAAAATTTATAGTAATTTCAGAGATTTAAAATTTCAAAGTACTACTAAAAACATAAATCCCATGTACACCTACATCTTTAAAATATATGTACAATGAAGGAGGGACTTGAAATTGAAAAGATACAGCTTATACAGGATGGTACTATACTATTTTTTAGTCAAGTGATTAACAGTTAGAAATACAACATTTTCATATAGGTCTTAAAGGCTGTAAGAACAAAAAAGAATAAAGAACAAAGGCAATACATTTTTTAAATTTCTGCGTGTTACCCAGTAACAGGTAACCTGAACATCAAGAACAGTCATTCTTCACCAAAAATGTTTACCATAAAACTAGTTCTTATTTACTCCCTAGTGAAAAATATAATTACCTTCACCCTGATGTCAAAGAGAAGGATTTGCTATGTAAAAAGGATAAAGAAATGCTTTTGGACTCATTACTGTGTTAGCAAAAATGTTTTAAAATACTAAAATCATAAGCCTAAGCCAACTGTTGTTTTTTTCATATAAGTAAACCAATCATGTTGATTGGCCAGTCACAGGCTAGAGAAATCAAATTTTGGAAAATAAATTAATGAACATTATGAATTCATCTGATTTTATTATATTAATGTAACATCACTATTTCATTGTTTACATCCTGTCTACTTTCAAAATGTACTTTGTTAGTTTTTAATAAAACACATATGTATTTTTAACCACATAATAAAAAACCTTAGATAGAAGTAGTATCAGAAGGCTAGGCTAAAGATATTTACACAAAATCCGAGGTTCATCGCAGCTCAGATACAAAATGGACAGCGGCAGTATGATTTATAAATTACTTATTGTCTAATGAAAGGGAACACCAGGTTTTTAGGAGAAAACTTTTCTCTCAGCACTAAACTCTAAGAGGAATGTTTTACTTGGAGCATTATAGTAAAAGTCAAAGTACAGTGTAACAGAGGCAGTACAGAAATAGGAAAATAGGCAATGAATTGAGACCAAGGTAGATGTCAATTCACATTAAAAACTGTGAGACTGGCCTGGCGCGGTGGCTCACGCCTGTAATCCTAGCACTTTGGGAGGCCAAGGCAGGCAGATTGCCTGAGCTTGAGATCAGCCTGGGCAACGCGGTGAAACCCTGTCTCTACAAAAATACAAAAAATTAGCCAGGCGTGGAGGCATGTGCCCATGGTCCCAGCTACTTGGAGGATGAGGCAGGAGAATTGCTTGAACCCGGGAGGCGGAGGTTGCAGTGAGCCAAGATGGCACCACTGCACTCCAGCCTGGGCGACAGAGTGAGACCCCGTCTCCACAAAAAAAACAACTGTGGGACCTTGAGCAAATTATTTGACTCTTTTTATTCTTAGTTTCATCACCAATAAAATGGCTAGATCATCACCAGCATCAGAGATACAGTTAAAGTTTGAAAATTCGTTGCTTGTAACAAATTATGCCTGGCATACACTAAGGGTTAAATGAATGGCAGTTATTGTTATTTTATACAAAAGATTTTTTTAAGTCCTTTTCTTATAACACTTCTTAGTACACACTAAAGGCATAACATTAACTCTAACTCAGTAAAAGTATTTTAAGGGAAACTAAACAGTCCTGGTGATCAAACTTGATGACAGTATTTACCTTACAAAACTGTAAGAAACTCTAGTCTTTGAATTTAAGTTCCCCATCTTATCACATCAACTAGAGGTGATAACTAGATAATCTAATCCCTTCTCAACCTGAGGTTCTTATGAGAAAATTAAGCTGTAATACTTTAAGGACATAAGTTGTATAAGATGCATTAACTTCTTTCTTACACATCTAGAATGATACTAGCAATTTACTAACAGGGAGAATTGAGAAAACAGTCCTCATATCATTTTCTATGTTCTGTGATTTAGATGAGAAATCCCATTTGAATAATAGTGCTTAATTCTATTAGTATCATAATCAACATTGGACTTATCTAGGCCCAACTTTGAGGTTTTTTTAATAATAATTTCTATAAGGGAAGGGACTGTGCCTTTATCTTTGTATGTTCTGTAACAGCTAATAGATTTATACTTGTGTTAGGAACCCACTGTACATCTTTTGCAATAAAATTAAAACAAGAAATTGTCAGGGGATAGTTCTAATGATGGCTCAAATTTTAACTATCTTAGAAGAAACCAGTCCATAGGTCCCAACCAAGAATTAACTGATTAATAATCAAAACCTATGGATTACTGAAACCCTGGAAAGCTATAAGTTTTAAAATAATGAAGAAATGCATTACATCCATAAACATTAATATTTTCATAGTGGGTACTTTTAAATCAACTTCATAATATATATTATTAAAGTGAACATTTAAGAGAAGCTAATATATTTGATCTATGATTCTACTAAAAATTTTAGGAGGATTTAGCTCATTCAATTAGAAATCAATGTTTAAATGTAGAATGTATGTATTTTAATTTATTAATTGTATAACAGCATTTAAAATGTGTAGGTAATTTTTCAAAAGACTTATTACAACAGTAAGTAAAGCACTCTTGATCATTCTCCTAGATCTTACAGTTAAAAAAAAAAAAAACTAGGAAGAAACATTTGTAAAAAGAAGTCAAAAGAGGCCTTCAAAAGGCTGGGGGATGATTATGCGAACAACACTAATGCCTATGCAATTTTTACAGAAAACTATCTGGAGACTAGAAAAGTTGTTAAGATGGGGAACTTGTCTCCCTACGCACTATCTTGTAAATTATAAGAAGGCAGGGGGTGACTTCAGGGAACAACAGGAAAATAAGGAAGGTTAGAAGAAGCATGAGGGAAAAAAAGAGTTCTGATAACCACTTCACAGGCCTTCACTTTTGAGCTCTCAATGTTTTCAAAAGAAAACAGTGAGAAGATATTTAAGGTCATGATAATGTGACTAAACGAGAAATTTTTATGTTTTAACTTAATTTAGGCATACCTGCACTATATCACAATAATAGTAGCCATGATTTACTGAGCACATATATTTGTGCAGTAACTGGATAAGGTACTTTAATTACATTATTTCCATACCTCATAAAAATCCTACAAGGCAGCTATTATCAGCCTATTATAAAGAAACTAATGCTCAGAACAATTAAATAAAGTTAAGACATATAAAAAAGATGAGATTCAAACTTAAATTTTTATTATTTCAAAGTTCTTTCCACTATATTAACAACTTCTCATATGATAAAGTTATAAAGTGTTCATACCACAGAGCTCACTATAATGATTAAGTATAGGATTTAAGAATAAGCCTTGAAATAACTGAATTCATGAAAATAAAGTGACCATTTATGAACCACACAGAAAATTTCATACATCTCATTTTAGAGATAAAAGAGATACAGGCTATCAAGACACTCACCCTGACAATAAGGATCCATTTGATCAAGGAAAGGCCAAATCCGCAGATAGCACCATACCTTCCAGCTATGGTATTGGTGATACAGAAGGATAAACAAAATCCAAGCCAGTTGAAAATAAATGCCACTAAAAGCAACAGAAACCGTTCTTTTATAAACCACAATTTGGAAACAAATTAACATAGACATATTAATAATATTTCATGGCTCAATGGAAACAGCAGCTCCCTTTCTTTTAACTCTGCCAATTAAGCCTTCTTTATAGACTATAGCCTACTTTTTGCAAATGGCTTATTTGCTATACTGTATATCAACAAATGGGTAAGCTTGGTTTCTTGTCAGTTTGGCCAACAGGAATCCATTCCTGAAAGCTTATCATTAATGGTTGTAACTGCAGTTATAAACTAGCTTAAAACCAGATCACAATGTATCTCACATGTGGTTCCACCCAAGAAGTCCAGCCTAAGCAATCAGCCAACAAAATTGGCTTTTTAAAAAAGGTAAAGCAGGCCAGGCACAGTGGCTCATGCCTGTAATCCCAGCACTTTGGGAGGCCAAGGCAGGGGGATCAGCTGAGGTCAGGAGTTCGAGACCAGCCTGGCCAACATGGTGAAACCCTGTCTCTACTAAAAATATAAAAATTAGCCGGGTGTGGTGGTGGGCACCTGTAATCCCAGCTACTTGGGAAGCTGAGGCAGGAGAATTGCTTGAACCTGGGAGGTAGAGGTTGCAGTGGGCCAAGATCACGCCACTGCACTGGAATGTGGGCAACAGAGCAAGACTCCGGCTCAAAAAAAAAAAGGAAAAAAAAGGTAAACAAAACAATAAAATTGAATACTTGACAAATACTTTATGGGTTTCCTCAGCTGTAATTACAATTCTTAGATGTTCCTTTTCTGAATTTACTTATGCTATGTAATGTCATGTAAAAGCTATATAAAAAACAGCTTTTTGTGGACAGAATAAGACATCAATGTTTTGTTTTCCAAGATGTGTCAAGATGTGTAGTGTCCAGATAACCCCTTTAAAAACTGTAACTTTTTGACTTGTATATGGTAGGTGCTCAAAAGAATAAACTGAATAAAGATGCTTAACATCAATTGTTAGGGAAATAAAAATTAAACCACAATAAGATACCATCACCAAACTATTAGAATGTCTGAAAAAAAAAACAAAAAACAGAACAACACAAAAAAACCATCAACACCAAATACGGGCAAGGACACAGAGCAACAGGAACTCTCATTCATTGCTGGTGGGAATGCAAAATAGTACAGCCACTTTGGAAGACAGTTTGGCAATTTCTTACAAATCAGAATTCACATTTCAAAACACCCTTCTAATTATTTTAAGGTTACAAATACCTTCTCTTTCTGTTTCCCTCAAGTCTAAAATGATAATAATGCAGGTGATTACTTATTATCATGGCATGCTGATGTGAAGATTCACACACGGTACAAATGGCTAAACCTCAGAAGAAAAGTTTTCTAAACAGGATCAAATAAGAGCCCATTACATTTTGAAGTACTAAAATTTAAGGTCATTTCCATAGACTGTCAATTATCCATAAACTTTTCATTTCTAGTATTTGGCAAATAACCAAATTCTGTTCCATTCTCTTAGAAAATTTCTTAAAAATAAGATCAGAGATATGCACATTAGGCATGTATCTGAGGCATTTTATGGTAACACTTTAAAAGGATTTTGAGAAGCAAAAGCATTATTACAAACATTTCTTCTTTTACATTTTCTGAACAAGAATATGCAATTATCTTACCAAATTTAAGTGTAAACTTTTTTTAGGTTATGTGAGGTAAAACACTGAAAATAAAGAAGGAAAGAATTAAGCCACCAAAAGGTTTTAATTGAAATAGTCTTATTGATATTCACTGTAATTTTACTTGTGCAAGTTATATAACCTGAAATGCTTAAGTTATAATTAAACCACACTAAAAATAAAATCTATTTCTGGACCTTTTTACCCACAGTAGCTATTAGATATTTAAGAAACACGGAAAATATAGCAAGTTGCAATTTGAAAAACAGCCACTAGATGGTAGTGATGACAAACAAATCTATGCTTATCAAGCAAATAAACTCTAGGCCTATAGCCTGCCAGAAAAAAAAATCAGGAAATACAGGTAAAAATATAAATTTACTGTTATAATGTTGGTACAATATTTGTAAAACAGGAAGCATTAAATATATAAGTTGTGGAAACAATTTAGTAAAAATTTAGTAAAATATATATTAAATCTATTAAATATAAATATATACATTTACATTATATTAACTAATATACTACCACTGGCTAAGAATAAAGTCATCCAGTGTGTCTAAGTTACCATGCATTTATAACACATCAGTGAAAGGGCTTCAAATCTAAAAAATTAAAATTAAAAAGAAGATACTGGTGGTAAGTGAAATAAACGGAGAAATAAGACTTCTGAGTTGCATAATTAGAAGGTGTCAAATAACATGTTTTTATTCCCCAGAACCAGGTATTTATACTAAAAATAATACAATATATTTAGATCCTTTCCTTTCTAATTAAGGTTTCTTAAAAGGTATAATAACAATGAAAGTAATGAATGTTTAAGCTACTCTTTTTTGTAAACAAACTGTGAGAAGTTTGTTATTAAAATGTTATTAATATATAGGATTACCAGTTAAACCAAAATTAAGATAAAAACCAAGGTTCACAGGACTAATATTACAAAACAGCACTCATTTGTAACCACAGTTTATTTCCTTTTTATTATACCTAACATTATATAACTAGAAATTGTAACTAAAACCAATTTAAGATTTAAATCTTGCATATACATTAGCTGGTTGACAACGTGAACATTACAATTAGTAAATTTGAGGAGCTGTCTGCCCTCCTTGCTCATTCCCCTCCCCGTCTTTTCTTCAGCAGATGAAAATAGAAGGGAAGCAAGAAACCATTTCAAACTTGGAGGACAGGGTTTACATGGACTTTCAGACTCAAAAGTGACAACTCACGAAGGCTGTATTTTCTACTTTTTAAAGCTGAATGTGGCACTTTAAATAAGTAAATTATTTCTCGGTTTTATGATCATAATAAAGCTTTTAACTAAATTGAATTAAATCAGCATTCTATCCAAGAATGAAAGCTTGATCATTTAACCAGATTGAGGGCAGAAATTAACTATATCATAGACTAATAAACTTACTTAAATGAATATTGGGTTTCTACCACTGGCTTTAGTAATTTAAACAGTTGATTGGGCATCTTATTATTTAATGAGTTTACTATGTCAATCCCTGTATTATGAATTGAAATAATGAAGACTTTGACACAGTCTTCCCTCAAGAAGATTAAATTTACTTTATAAGTCAAATACTAAGAATTCTGCAAGATGTTAAAATGTTACTGTTTCTGATCTTCTAACTACTTAACATTCCCCCAAATAAGACTTATACTTTCATAACTGTCTGTCCCAAGTGACACTGTTCCAGTTGCCCAGAATATCTGTTTTTCCAATCCTTCTTCTAGCTTAAGGACACTCAAATGGAAATCCTCTGCCCCAATAGTGCAATTTATAGTTTCATTCTATACGCTCCTACAGAGCTGAATGGGCACCAATATAGCAGTATTTCTCTTTAAAAATCTGAAATAGCTTAAATATGCTTATGTACTTTTACATGTCAGCATCTTCATAATGGCTGCAACGCATAAATTTATCCAACAAGAGTTTGATAAATTCTAGGATTTGTATTTAAACATATGATCACAGTATTCATTAGTCCAATATCAGGAACAATTTACATTTTAAGAAAGGTAGACATATGCTAACAATATTTGCTTCTCTTCACTATGTTACTTTAATACACATACAGCCAATTCATAAAAACAACCCAAAATAGTTTAGGAAGATTACTTACTGAAAAATGCCAGCATGAAAATGCCATCATTCCCCACTCTGAGCTGGTCTGCATCACTGAAGTCATCTCTTGGTGGACACTCTTCCTCCTGAATCTGTAAATATGTAACATTGGAATAGCTCACTAAAAATTACAACTTTATCATCTTAAATGTAAGCATAAGAACTTCAGCAACATCTAATGTTCTCAATTTGTTGTATAGACAAATGCAATAATGAGTACAATGTCTGGCACAGAGTAATCAATAAGCATTAGCAACTAATATTTTTTCACAGTCACATTTGAAAAGAGTAACTTTAAAGATAAACACAAAAAAGATAAAAGATGAATAACATCAAACTCATAAAAATGGTATCAAGAAGATACATGTGACAGTGCTCCATTAGTAATGACTGGGAAATAAGAACTTTCATAACCAGTGGTGGAGTATAAATTGGTACAACTTATATTGTTGGCAATTTTGCAATAATTATCAAAAATAAAAATGTGCATACCCTATGATCCAGCAATTCCAGTTCTTAAAATACACTGCACATATATATATATGTATACACACACACACATATTCCCTCTTATAAAAATGATGTATTAAAGATAATTCATTCCAGCAATGTTAATAAGAGCAAAAGATTAGATACAATCTAAATGCCCATCAACAGCAGACTATGTTAGGAGACAATTCTCCCCAAGTCTATCATGTTTCTACATGTCTTCCAGGTAGAGGCATTGGTGGCCTTTTTTCTGGAAAAGCTGCCGGCATTCGATGCCAGTCCCTCAAGCAGCCACAGAGCTGTACACTGCAAAGCCTCAGGGGCAGAGCTACCCAAGGCCTGGGAAGCCCACCCCTTGTACCAGTAAGCCCTGGATGTGAGACGTGGAGTCAAAGATTATTCTGGCCAGGCGCTGTGGCTCACGCCTATAATCTCACACTTTGGAAGGCCAAGACAGGTGGATCACTTCAGGCCAGGAGTTCAAGACCTGCCTGGCCAGCATGGTGAAACCCTGCCTCTACTAAAAATACAAAAATTAGCCAGGTATGGTGGCACATGCCTGTAATCCCAGCTACTCAGGAGGCTGAGGCATGAGAATCGCTTGAACTCGGGAGGTAGCAGCTGCAGTGAGCCGAGATCACACCGCTGCACTCCAGTCTGGGCGACAGTGAGACCGTCTCAAAAAAATATTATCTTGGAACTTTAGGATTTAATGACTGTCAGGCTTGGTTTCGGTCTTCCATGGGGCTTGTATCCCCTTTTGTTGGCCAATTTCTCCCTTTTGGAACCAGCATATTTACCCAATGCCTATAGTGCCATTTTATCTTAGAAGTAATTAGCTTGTTTTTGATTTTACAGGCCCGTGGGTGGAAGGGACTTGCCTTGTCTCAGATGAGGCTTTGGATTGTTGACTCTTTGAGTTAATGCTGGAATAAGATTCTGGGGGACTCTTGGGAAGGCATGGTTGTATTTTGAAATGTGAGAAGGACATGAGATCTGGGAGAGGCCAGGGACAGAATTATATGGTTCGATCTGTGTCCCCATCCAAATCTCATATTCAACTGTAATCCTCAACTGTTGGAGATTGGGCCTGGTAGGAGGTGATCGGATCATGGGGGTGGTTTCTAATGGTTTCACATCATTTTCCTGGGCGCTGTTCTCATGAGAGTGAGTGAGTGCATTATTGTTTTTTCTGAGATCTGGTTGTTTAAAAGTGTGTGGCATCACCCCTTCACTCTCTCTCTTCCTCCTGCTCCAGCCATGTAAAATGGGCCTGCTTCCCCCTCACCTTCCGCCACAATCGTAAGTTTCCTGGGGCCTCCCCAGAAGCTGCTATGCTTCCTATACAGTCTGCAGAACTGTAAGTCAATTAAACCTCTTTTCTTTATAAATTCCCCAGTCTTGGGTATTTCTTTATAGCAGTGTGAAAATGGACTAATACGGTACACATCATCTCAGTTGAGTGTGAATAACTCAATTTTGTGAGGCCAAGTCTGAGAAGCTAGGGCTCTGCTCAATATCACATAATTAGGAGGGTCAAAGTGGAACTTGAATCCAGGACACTGATGTTGTTTCCACACAATCATGGTAGTCTCACTAAGCATACTGCTATCCTGAAATAAAAAAACTTTCAAAACCATTTTATATTGCTTATTATTCGGGCACAAAGATCCCTTAAATTGTGCAATCATATATCATAGGTAAACTCAATATACTAAATTTAATGACTGGCCATGACTAAGTGCATATTTATAAAATTTTAAATAATTTCAAATTAATTCAAGAAATAAACATTAAAGCACAGTAAGAACAAAAAATTGTCAGTGTGATGGCAAAAATATATTTCATACTGTGTATTTTAAAACATCAGTCCAGGCCAGGTACAGTGGCTCATGCCTGTAATCCCAGCACTTTGGGAGGCCGAGGTGGGTGGATCACTTGAAGTCAGGAGTTCAAGACTAGCCTGACCAACATGGCGAAACCCATCTCTACTAAAAATACAAAAACAAATTAACCAGATGTGGTGGCGTGCTCCTGTAGTCCCAGCTACTCAAGAGGCTAAGGCAGGAGAATCATTTGAACTGGGGAGGCGGAGGTTGCACTGAACTGAGATTGCACTACTGCATTCCAGCCTAGGAGACAGAGTGAGACTGCGCCTCAAAAACAAAACAACCACCACCAAAAAATCAATACAGAAATTTTATCAAAAGTCATCATTTAGGAAAAAAAAAAAAATTAAGACAAGATCTCACTCTCACCCAGGCTGGAGTGCAGTGGCACAATCATGGCTCACTGCAGTCTTCATCCGGGATCACTACAGCCTCAATCTCCTGGGCTCAAGTGATCTTCCCACTTCAGCCTTCCAAGTTGCTGGAACTACAGGTGCATGCCACCACACCTAGCTGATTTTTTTTTTTCTTTTTAGTGGAAATAAGGTCTCGCTGTGTTGCCCAGGCTGGTCTCAAACTCCTGAGCTCAAGCAACCTGCTTGCCTCAGCCTCCCAAAGTGCTGAGATTACAGGAGTGAGTCACTGCAATATGCCCAAAGATGTCTTTTATAATATTAATAGAAAAAATCGAAACACAAACATTTGAAAATAATTGTTCACTCTAGAGGAATGGCCACTAAGTTTCAATAGCATATTGATTACAGGGAATTTAACTATTAAGTAACAGGGAAATATTTATATAAGATGTTTAAAAAATAAAATGGTATCTAGGCAATAATTTCAACTACATTAAACATTAATTTGTGAATCCTGAAATTGGTAAAGACATCAAAATATTTTAAAATAGAGAGCTGTAACAGAACACCTGTGGTGTTTTCCTCTTTCTATTTTCCCACATTGGCTAACACAAAGAAAGCATTCATTAACTTAATCAACTGTCATTGACTAAACAACAAAAATGTGCCTGATAAATAACTAGGTACTGGGAATGTAAATGCAAGATCTCTGTCCTGGTGTTGCTCATGATTTATCTAGTCAAAAGACAAGTTACTGCAACAATTTAAAACAAGTTACAAAAAAAGAGCCCTACCCATTATAAGATGAAATGAGTCTACCTGAAGAACAAGCCATGTTCTAAACATCTTATAAAATTAATAGTTTGGAATTAGCATTTTTCATAGAAATATTAACAATGAGTTGTCATTTTCAGAAATCTACTTAACCATTCCATAACATACGTGCAATTCTACACATCAGAAATAGGAAATAGTAAAAACAGTAGTTTTAAAGTCTCTTGACTATCTATATTCTCCCAGTGAGAGTTGATTTAGGAAACAAGCTTTCAACTCACCCAGCTGAGACTCATTTACAACTGAATGTACTCAAATGCTAATTTGATGAGACTTTTTTTCAATTTTTAAATTTTGTTTGTAATTGACAAAAACTGTATATATTTATGATGTATTACATGATGTTTTAAAATGTGTATACATTGTGGAGTGGCTAAATTGAGCTAATTACCATGTACAGTACCTCAAATATTTTTTTTGTGCAAGAACGCTTAAAATCTACTCTCCTAGCAATTTTCAAGCATTGACCAATTTTTCATCTCAATCAGGTAATGGAGACTCATATGCAAACATTCATACTCTGCACAAAGAGGGTGCTGAAGCACCGGGTTAGGAAGCACTGGTAAATTTATAAGATTTTTTACAAGACCTAAGTTAGTCTCTTGTACACAATTCTATTAATACTTTGCTGTCTATGAAATTTTCCACAATGCTCACAAGCTGGGGTTACAATGATATCAGAAGCAGGTAAAAACAGGGAGCTTTTCTTTATGGACATGTTCCAATTCTGGCTGAGGATTACATTTACTTTCTAAAACAGGGTGCTGGAAATGATGACAATGAGGGAATGGAACAGTAATACTTCAGACTTTTCTCTTCAAAAGGGGTAAAATCAACTTTTCTCAAAGCACACTTACCAAGACTTAATGCTTCCTACCTTGTCTTTAGAATTCTATCCTATTGTATGGAAGTTAGGGCAGTAAATGATCTACGGTCCATAATACTTCTTAAGGTCTCTGGGCAAACACCCCCTGAGAAAAGGAGTTATTGGGACTTTCATAGCTAGAGAGGAATCAATCTACTTCACTGAGAGATGTGCATGTTCATTTACAAATATATGTGTTCTAAGTAACCGAGAACTTATTTAGACAAAAATACCCTATTTAGATCTATCCTCCTCCTCTGTGATGTTCCCCTCAAAGCAACAAAAATTCTTATTGACTCAGCTATATTATGCCACTGTGTTAAGAGACTTACTTTCCTCCTCTGTGAAGGAAAAGGCATAAAAAATAAATTCGGAGTTTACTGTCTTTATCTACCTTCATAACTGTGTCCAAAGCTATTTATGTTGACGTTTAACCCTGTGTGTGCTGGAAGAGGGTAGTAGGAGCAGGCATAAATAGGGTTATTGCTGATCAAAGAAACACATTCAGGGCACATGCTCTTCTCTCAGAGGATCTGCTTGCTGGGCTCTGACCTCATAGCAGCTAGAGGAGAATGCCATACATGGAAGCACATCTCTCTCCCTTGACTCCTCACCTAATTCTAGCTTTCCTGGGTGAATTGATTTTTTTGTCTTTTTCCCGAACAAAATGGGGTGAATCCAGGGATCTGAAACGGCATCTCTCAAGTCTGAAGCAAGAAAAAAAAGGCAAAAAATTCTAGCCCTCCTTGCAGCCACACTAAAATGTAAATAATTTCTGCCTCTTACCTGGCTGCAGAATAGTAGATGTGTATGTATCTCACTGACTCTCCATTACTGAGACAGCCACTCCATTTACCAGAGCAAAGAGTAATACACATGTATCTCATTAACTCCATTACTAAAACATGTAGATGAGGAAGACAGAATGCTTGATCATCATTCCAAAATTCTAGAGTAGAATGTTATCAAAAAAAAAAAAAAAAAAAAAAACAGCTGACAAAAATAATTTGAAGGCCTTGTAACATTTCTCTGTGTTTTTTGGCTACCTTGAGTTCTTTCACAGTCACTAAACTGGCTATGCTAATATAGAAACATAAATAGAAAAAAAGATGATTCACAATTAAAATGATAGGCCATGGAATTCAAACTATGTAAGAAGATAAATAAGTACATGGACAGCAAAGAGGTCAGTGGACTTGAGGTCCAGGCAAAGAGAAGAACTTTCCAAGTGGTGGTAACCAGAGTGAGTGAGTTAGGATGCGAAGTGAAGGCTAACACATGAGGGGCCTGAAATCAAAATTTAGGAAGGGATAAGCGGGGAAGAGCAATAGAAAAGAGGAAGTCAAGGGATAAAGAAGGTGAATTTAACTAGGAGAATGCCAATTTCAACAAAAAGTGACCACACACATAAGCAACAGTAGAACAAATACAGTAACCCTTCAACAATACACGGGTTAGGGACACCGACCCACCTGCATGCGGTAGAAAATTTGAGTATAACTCTGACTTCCCCAAAACTTAACGACTCACAGCCTATTGTTAACTAGAAGCCTTACTGATAACATAAACAGTCGATAATACATAAACTACTATTTACATGTATTTTATACATTCATTACAGGCCTTTTCTTAATTTTTTTGATATTTCTAGGCTATGCAATTTGTCCCAAGTTTTTTCAAATTGCTGCAGATCTCCAAAATATTTTTCCAATATATTTATTTAAAACAATCTGCATACAAGTAGACCTGTGCAGTTTAAACCCATAATGCTCAAAAAAAATCTACATACACACTTACACACAAAGAACTGTTTTTAGTATTACTAAATGTATATATCAATTAACGAAAATAATTTTATCAAAAGAAATGATGAAATTTTCTTACTCTTTGAGATGTTTCTGCTGCTGCAGCTGCCATTGCAGCAGCTTTAGCCTT
Source organism: Homo sapiens (assembly GCF_000001405.40). Classification (NCBI taxonomy): domain Eukaryota; kingdom Metazoa; phylum Chordata; class Mammalia; order Primates; family Hominidae; genus Homo; species Homo sapiens. Next base: position 79,533,405 of record NC_000013.11, on the reverse strand, counting down.
CTCAGCTTCATCGTATGTAGGAAGAGAGGTAGCAACGCTATAGGGAGGTGGCACGGGATAAAACTCACCGTAAACTTCTGTATCTGAAGAAAGAATTCAAAAAGAATAACCAATAAAATCTATTTAATTTTGTAGCCATAGCCATGACTTAATAATTTACAACTGGCCACCAATACAGGACTACTATTGCTATTATAGGCCTATGTTATAAGCTATAAAATATATAAATTACTATTACAATCATATATCTTACTTTAGTCCAAATTTATTATAAAGAGAAAGAATGGATAAATACCGTTTAAAGGCTAATACACTAAACAAGAACCTCTAGAATGAAATTCTGAAAAAGAGTGCCAGACAAGAGAAGTAAGAATCTCATAATATATGAGTATTCTCTATGTGCTTATTAGTATGCACAAAGAACTTAGTTTACTTGCCCACTATCTCACAGCCAAAAAAGCAAAAAGAAAAAGTAATAATAACAAACATTTACATAATACTAACCATTTCATATACCACTTCTGTATACATTGATCTTAGCATCTCTGAGGTTCAGGAAAGTTAAGTTACTTGCACAATATTAAACATTTAAGTGGCAGACACAGGAAGCTCCTGACCCCAAATACTTTGCTCCGATAACATACAAGGGGTAATTTTTTTACACATCTTGATTTCAGCAACGGCTCTAATCTCTTAAGCAAATTCAGTATTTCCCTTTGCTAAAAGATTGAAGTTTTACTTTTCCACTCTTGTCCCTTTCTCTTCCCATTTTTCCTTTATCCAGCTAGTTCTTTAGATTTCCTTTTATAAGTATTTCTCACCCCAATTTTTGAAATATAATCTCCAGAAATACATTACAATAGAAAATACAGACTGCTTATTTTAAAAATAAAACCCATCACTTATTACAACATAAGTAATAAAGTAAAGTGCTATACAGGTCAATCAACTCATTAGACTTATGCTAGAGTCACTGACACACACACAAAAAAGGGAGGTTCTAAAAGTAGCATACACCACACTGTTTGACATCACTTTTGTATTTTCCTCCATTATAACAACAGTAGTTTTATATAAGCATACCTGGTTTTATACACTTTGCTTTTGTGCATTTTGCAAATACTGTGTTTCTTACAAACTGAAGGTTTGCGGCGGCAATTCCACATTGAACAAGTGTATCAGCACCATTTTTCCAAGAGCATGTGCTCACTCTGTGTCTCTGTCCCAGTACTTCTAGCAATATTTCAAATGTTTCCAGTGCCACTATTGTATCTTTTATGGTGATCTGTGATTAGCGATCTTTGATGTCACTATTGTAATTGTTTTGGGGCACCACAAACTGTGCCCATAGAACACAGGAAACCTAATTGATAAACACTGTACGTGTTTTGTCACACGTCTCTCACTCTAATTCAAAAGCTAGAAACAATCAAGCCTAGCAAGGACAGCATGGCAAAAGCCAAGATACACCGAAAGCCAGACCTCTTGCTCCAAACAGCCAAGTTATGAATGCAAAGGAAAAGTTCCTGAAGGCAATTAAAAGTGCTACTACAGTGAACACATGAGTAATAAGAAAGGGAAACTACTTTATTGCTGATATGGAGTAAATTCTAGTTCCAGTTAGAAGATCAAACCAGCCACAACATTCCTATATGCCAAAGCCTGGTTCAGAGCAAGGTGCTGACTCTCTTCAATTCTATGAAGACTGAGAGAAGTGAGGAAGGTAAAGAAGAAAAGTTGGCAGCTGGCAGAGGTTGGTTTATAAGGCTAAATCAAAGAAGCCATCTTCATAAAAGTGCAACATGAAGCAGCGAGTGCTGACGTAGAAGCTGCAGCAAATTATGCAGAAGATCTAGCTAAGATCATTGATGATGGTGGCTATGCTAAACAACAGATTTTCAATGTAGATGACACAGCTTTCTACTGGAAGATGCCTTCTAGGACTTTCATAGCTAGAGAGGAGTCAATTCCTGGTTTCAAAGCTTCAAAGGACAGGCTGACTCTCTTATAAGGATTTAATTCAGCTGGGAACTTTAAGTTGAAGCCAATGCTCATTTACCATTCTGAAGATCATAGAGCCCTTAAGAATTATGCTCAGTCTACTCTGCTCCATAAATGGAACAACAAAGCCTAATGACAGCACACCTGTTTATAGCATGGTTTACTGAATGTTTTAAGTCCACTGTTGAAAGCTCAGGAGAAAAAGATCTTTCAAAATATTACTGCTCACTGACAATGCACCTGGTCACTCAAGACCTCTGAAGGAGATGTACAAGAAGATTAATGGTGTTTTCATGCCTACTAAGACAACATCCATTTTGCAGCCCATGGATCAAGGGGTCATTCTGACTTTCAAGTCTTATGATTTTAGAGCTATATTTCATAAGACGATTGCTGCCACAGATAGTGATTTCTCTGATGGATCTGGACAAAGTAAACTGAAAAGCTTCTGGAAAGGATTCACTATTCTAGATGGCATTAAAAACATTCAGGATCATGGGAGAAGGTCAAAATATGAACATTAACAGGAGTTGGAAGTTGATTCCAACCCTCATAGATGACTGAGGGGTTTAAGACTTCAGTGGAGAAAGTAATTGCAGACGTGGGAGAAACAGCAAGAGAAGTAGAATCAGAAGTGAGGCCTGAAAATGTGACTGAATTGCTGCAATCTCATGGTAAAACTTAAATGAATGAACAGTTGCTTCTTATGGATGAGCAAAGAAAGTGATTTCTTGAGATGGGAGATACTCTTGGTGAAGATGCTGTGAACATCGTTGAAATGACAAAAAAGGACTTAGATTACATAAGTTTAACTGACAAAGCAGTGGCAGGGATTGAGAGAATTGACTCCAGTTTTGGAAGAAGTCCTAGTGTGGGTAAAATGCCATAAACAGCACTGCATGCTACAGACAATTCTTTTGTAAAACAAAGAGTCAATTGATGTAGCAAACTTCATTGCTGTCTTATTTTAACAAATTGCCACAGCTGGAGCTGGGCACAGCAGCTGGCACCTGTAATCCCAGCTACTCGGGAAGCTGAGGCTAAAGGATCACTTGAGGCCAGGAGTTTGAGACCTGCCTGGGCAACATGGGGAGACTCCATCTTTAAAAATACTAATTTTTTTTTTAAATAGCTGTCCCTGTAGTACCAGCTACTCAGGAGGCTGAGGCAGGAGCGTTGCTTGAGCCCAGGAATCCAAGACTACAGTGAGCTATGAAAGCGCCACTGAATTCTGTCTCTAAAAAAAAAGAAAAGAAATTGCCATAGCCACCCCAATATTCAGCAACCACCACCCTGATCAGTCAGTAGCCATCAACACTGAGGCAAGATCTTCCACCAGGAAAAAGATTATGACTCACTGAAGCTCTGATGATCATTAGTATCTTTTAGCAGTAAAGTTTTAAATTAAGATATGTACATTTTTTAAACATAATGCTACTGCACCCTTAAGAGTATAGCGTAAACATAACTTTTGTATGCACTGGGAAACCAAAAAATTCATATGACTCTTTTCACTGAGATATTCGCTTTACTTCAGTAGTCTGAAAATGAACCAGCAATATTTCTGAAGTATGCGTTTATTTTTTTACATTTGTTTACAATTTTGTCTAACAGAATTTCTTGCATTTTCAACCTAAAAATACATTTTACTCTAGCAATACTTCTACTGTATTTTCATGCATATAGGTCTTAAAACAATTTTTAGTGCTATCAATAAGAGCTAAGGACCTGAAGTTAGGTCATTTTTAATCTAATCACATGGAATTGGTACTAGCAGTATAATACTGAATGTTACCAAACACAAGAGACAAGAGTCAAATTCTTAGAAAAGATTTATTATCAGGATGTAAAAACGTAAGTGGTCAAGTAAACAGATTTCTTTAGTTTTAAAAGAGTAGAAGCAAAATCTAAGTAAAAACAATGTTTACAAATTTTAAGGCAGTAACATTAAAACTGTAAATTTTAAAAACTGGAACAATGGCACACATTATCCAAGGAGATGTGATCTTTTATAATAACAAGAATGTAAATTTCTGAAAGGTTTTAATACTCAAGATAGAAAAAAAAAATCCCTACCACTAATACATGAAAGTTGGGTAGGAAAACTCAATTGCTACAGCTTTAATTTTCACTTTTAAATTTTACTTATTTTTATCTACCCTTTTAAAAGAGTGGTTCTCAACCAGAGGATTTAAAGTCTGGCAAGCTCCAGCTCCAAATCCTCCTCTTAGAAGTTGTGTGACCTCAAGCTAATCACTTAAACACTATGAAGCTCCACTTTCTCATCCATAAAACTGACACAGCAGGGCTGTTACTTGCTATTATGGGATAAAATAGAAGAGTATTCAAGAGGACTCTGTAAACTGTGAAGCATTACACAAATGTCACGTATTATTATTTATGTTACTCAGATCTATAAAAACTAGCCAAAAAGTGACCTAATGGAGAATATAATCTCTGCAAAATCTAGCAGAGCTCATGTTTAAAATACAGTCATGCATCACTTACTAACACAGATATGTTCTGAGACATGTGTTAAGCAATTTAGTTTTTGTGGAACATCATAGAGTGTACTTATATAAACCTAGAGTGTAGAGCCTACTACATAACTAGGCTATATGGTATATAGCCTATTGCTCACCGACTACAAACCTGTATAGCATATTACTGTACTGAATACTCTAGGCAACTGCAACACAATGTTAAGTATCTGTGTTATATAAATACATCTAAACATAGAAAAAGTACAGTAAAAATATGTTCTAAAATATTATAAAGTGGCCGACCTGGATAGGGCACCTACAATGAACAGAGCTTAGAAGACTGGAAGTTGCTCTGGGTGAGTCAGTGAGTGAGTGACGAGTGAACGTGAAGGCCTAGGACATTACTGTACACTACCGTAGACTTTATAAACACTGTACACCTAGGCTACCCTAGATTTATTTTAAAATATTTTTCTTCCTTCAATAATAAATCTCAGCTTTCTGTATTTTTACTTTATATACTTTTAAATTTAACTTTGTGACTCTTTTATAAGAACACAGCTTAAAACACAAACACATTGTACAGTGTACAAAAATATTTTCTTTTTTATATCCTTATTCCACAATCTTTTTTCTATTTTTTAAATTTTTTAAACTTTTTTTTGTGTGACAAGGTCTCACTCAGTCACCCAGGCTGGAGTGCAGTGGCACATAGCTCACTTCAGCCTCAACTTCCCAGTCTCAATCAATTGTCTCACCTCAGACTCCCAAGCAGCTGGGACTACGGGTGTGCATTGCCACACCCAGCTAATTTTTGTATTTTTTGTTGATGAGGGTTTCGCCAAGTTGCCCAGGCTGGTCTCAAACTCCTAGGCTGTGATCCTCCCACCTCAGCCACCCAAAGTACTGGAATTATAGGCATGTGCCACCGTGCATAGCTAGCTTTTTTATTAAAAACTGCAACACAAACACGCACACTAGCTTAGGCCTACAAAGGGTCAGGATCGTCAATATCATTGTCTTCCACCTCCACATTTGTCCCACTGGAAGGTCGTCAAGGGCAATAACACACATGGAGCTGTCATCTCCTATGATAACAAATGCCTTCTGGAATACCTCCTGAAAAGATCTGCCTGAGGCTGTTTTACAGTTAATTTGTTTTTTATAAGTAGAAAGAATACACTCTAAAATAATAATTAAGATTAATAAATATACAAATCAGTAATATAGTCATTACCATTATCAAGTATTATATACTGTACATAATTGTATGTGTTAGACTTGTACACAACCGACAGAGTATTGGATATGTTTACACCAACACTGCCACAAACACCGAGTAGTGCAACCTTACGACAGCTACCATGTCACTAGATGACAGAAATTTTTCAGCACCATTGTATACACATGCAGTCTGTTGCTGGCCAAAATGTTGTTATGCAGCATATGACCATCTTTAAAGAAAGTGAAAACAACCCAATTACTATACCATCCAGACTAAGTGATTATTTTTAACATATTTTGGAATTTCCTTTACGTGGAAATGTTCATCTATTTCTTAAATAATGGGGATCACATCATATATGTCATTTTATATTCTACTTTTTAAATTTGCTATTTCAAAGTGTGTGATATCAGTAAACAGCCTTCAAAAAACCTAATTTTAATGTTTATGCAATATTTAAAAATACTATCATTTGAAAATGTATTTAATGATTCCCCTATTTTGAGCATGTGTGATGCTTCCATTTGTTAGTTATTAAAGTCACTTGCTGTCTTTGCTTCCTCTCTACCTGTGCTCTTTTTAACCCATTATATGCTAGGTTTCTATTTGTAACACTCCAAAGAAACCATTATGGCAAAAGTCACCAGTGATCTTCAAATAGCCAAAATCACAGGACACCGCAATTATAAAACATGACTGTGGACTTTAGAATTAGATACATCTGAGTTCGAATTCTGTCTTTACCACTGAGAAGCTATGTGAACACAGGCAAGTTATTTAATTCTCCATGATTGTTTTCTCCTCTGTAAAATGAACCTCATTTTTACAGATGTGATTTACTCAGGATGGCTGGAAAATCAGATGAGCTATATACCTAAGAACTTGGGAGAAAGGGCAGGTATGCAGTAAGCACACAGTAAGTGCTAGGTATAATCTTTTTAAATTCTTGACCAGCCACTTCTTTTTAAAATTCTCTCCTCTCTTGGCTTCTAGAATATTCTTTTCAGAGTCCTCTCCTACCTGCCTAATAGTTCTTCTTTACTTGTGTTGCTAGTCTTCAAGGTTCTTGTGTTACCCTTTATCTAACTTCATTCTCCTGAAAGTCCTTGGATGACTCTATCCTAGTGTTTCTCATAACTCTCCAGCTTCTCTTTTGTTGACCTGCTAACATTCCCCTACTCACTGTTAAATGTTGTAGTTCCTCAGCATAGACAACTTCTTCCTCCTCTCTACTCTCTTCCTTGCTATTTCATTCATGGATTAAGAATTCAACTACCAACTATACACAGTTGATTTACAACATTTATTTCTAGCCCAAACCTCTCCTCTGAATTTCAGGCTTATTTGATGTGGGTCTATTTGTTATCACTTGACTGCCTATTTGATATATCCTCTTTAGTTCTCAAAGGCACCTAAAATTCAACATGGCCAAAAAATAACATTTTGATCTTCATTCCAAACCTGTTCCTTTTCAGTAATACTTGGGCATCATTCTTAACCCCTTCTCCCTCATCCTTATCCAATCTGTCACCAAGGCATTGATTTTTACTTCCCACATATTGCTTGAATCCACATACTCTTCACCACCAGCACCTTAGTCATACTACCAGCATCTCCTGTCTGAAGTTTTAGCAGCTCCACCTCTTCTCTCCATCTGCTAAGAGCATAAGTTATAGATCTCACTAATATTGCTAAAACTTCAAAATATTCACAAATCTAAATCCAGAAGAGATTAGAACATGGCATGAAAAGTGTGTATTTCAGAACATGGAGATGGCCTAGCTTAAAGACATATAATAACATATTTCATTTCATCAAAAATTAAAAGAGAAAAACCATATACAATAGTTCTGCCTTATGCACGGTTTTGCTTTCCACAGTTTCAGTGACCCCAAGGTCGACTGCAATCTAGAAATATTCAATAGAAAACTGCAGAAATAAACAACTCATAAGTTTTAAATTGTGCATTGTTCTGAATATCATGATAAAATCTCACACCAACCCACTGTGTCCTGGCCAGGATGTGAATCATCCCTTTGTCCAGTGTATACACGCTGTCAACACTACCCACCCGTCAGTCATTTAGCAACTCTAGGTTATCAAATCTACAACTGAAGTATTGCAGTACTTGCATTCAAGTAACTCTATTTTACTTAATAATGGCTCCAAAACACAAGAGTAGAGATGCTGGCAATTCAGATATGCCAAAGAGAGCCATAAAGCGCTACCTGTAAGTGAAAAAGTGAAAGTTCTTGCCTTAATAAAGAAAAAAAACGTAGGCTGAGGTTGCTAAGATCTACAGTAAAAACGAATCTTCTATCTGTGAAATTGTGAAGGAAAAAGAAATTTGTGCTAGTTCTGCTGTCACATCTCAAACTGCAAAAGTTTTGGCCACAGTGTGTGATAAGTGCTTAGTTAAGATGGAAGAGGAAGTAAATTTATAGGTGAAGGACAAAAGCAGAAACATGTTCCGACTGATGGCAATGTGTTGCACCAGAAGGCACTGAGCCTATACAAAGATTTCAGCAAGGAATCTCCTGAAACCAGAGACACTGAGCCATTTACTGCAAATAAAGAAAGGTCACACAGATTGAGGATTAGGTTTGGACTAAAAAATATAAAATTACTGGAGAGTCTGTGTCTGCTAATGAAGAAGCTGCTGTCACATTTCCGGCAGAGTTGAAGAAGCTGATTAAGGAGAAAGGATACCATCCAAACAAGCTTTCAATTGTGATGAAACTGGGCTCTTCTGGGAGAAGATGCCTGAAAGAACTGACATTTATCAAAGTACAAAGGAGGCATCAAGGCATAAAACATGGAAGGACAGATTAACTCAGGTACCGTGTGGTGACACTGCAGGGCATATGACAGAGCCAAGCATAGTGTACAAAGTGAAGAATCCATGTGCCCTCAAAGAAAAAATGAAAAATTATCTGCCCAAATTCTGGCAACATAATTAGAAAGTATGGGTGACAGCTATCTTGTTTATGGAATGGTTCCACCAATGCTTCATCTCCCAAGTGAAAAACTACTTGGAAGAAAACAGTTGAAATTTAAAGTCCTATTAATAATAGACAATGCAGCTGACCATCCTGAATCTGTTTGCTATGAAAATGAAAATGTCAAGGTTTTACTTTGACCTGCAAATATAACCTCATTGCTTCAGTCCCTTGACCAGTGCATCATCTGGTCAGTCAAGGCCACATACACTTGCCTAGTATTTAATCACATTTGATCAGCAATCGATGCAGCCCCTAACATGACATAATACAGTGCTGGAAATCACTATTGCTGATGCAGTAACATTCATCAAAGCTGCAACTGATGAATTAAAACCAGAAACTGTAGATGTCTCCCTGAAGAATGTTTGGAGTAAAGTTATGAATGATTTTAAAGGCTTCTTGGGGATCAGCAGAGAAGCCAGGAAAATCACACAGCAAGACAAGTTGGTGGAGAAGGATTTGCCAATATGCTTGATGAAGAAGTAGAAGGGCATACTGATGGCCATCAAGAAGTGTTAATAATGAGGATATGGAAGAATTAGAGTCATCTACAGAGGAAGAGGAAGATGAAGAAGAAAATGAAGCAGAATCAGTAACGTGGCCATTACCAAAATCTGCTGAAGTGTTTCAAATGGCACGGACATTAAATGTCAAAATTATAGAATATGATCCTTAATGGGGCACAGTATCAAAGTCACCCATATGATCACTGAAGCACTACAACCTCTGCAGCAATACTTCAATGAGTTAATAAAAAAGAGACAACAACTTCCAGTTACAATGTTCTTCCAAAAGGTTTCAGCAAAATAACCTCCAACTATCAAGGATCCATACTCATCGACATCGTGATGGTTTTGCAGTCCAGGATCACCTGAAGTAGACAATCCCCCTTCTGACATATCATCAGAAGATCAATAGTAGCCTTAACACTACATCACAATGCCTATGTCATTCACCTCACTTCATCTCATCATATAAGCATTTTATCATCTCATATCATCACATGAAGAAGAGTGGGTATTCCAAGAGAAAGAGGGACTACATTCACATAACTTTTATTACAGTATTGCCATAACTGTTCTAGTTTATTATTAGTTGTTGTTAATCTCTTACTGTGCCTAATTTATGCATTAAACTTTATCATAAGTATGTATATATTAAAAAAACACAGTATGGGCTGGGCGCAGTGGCTCATGCCTGTAATCCCGGCACTTTGGGAGGCCGAGGTGGGCAGATCACCCTAGGTCAGGAGTTCGAGACCAGCCTGACCAACATGGTGAAATGCCATCTCTACTAAAAATACAAAATTCGCCAGGTGTGGTGGCACATGCCTGTAATCCCAGCTACTTGGGAGGCTGAGGCAGGAGAATCGCTTGAACCCAGGAGGTGAAGGTTGCAGTGAGCCAAGATCACGCCATTGCACTCCAGCCTGGGCAACAAGAATGAAACTCCATCTTAAAAAAACAAAAACAAAAACAAACAAACAACAGTATGTATAGAAAAAACACAGTATTTATAGGGTTCAGTGCTAGCTGTAGCTCTAGGCATCCACTGGTGTTCTGGGAACACATCTCCCTTGGATAAGGGGGCTTGCTGTAATTTTAAAATCAGGTACCAAAAGAAGACTCCAAGGTTTCTGGCCTACTGAAGCCATTTATTGAAATAGGAGAGACTGTAGAAGGAGAAGGTTTGGTGCTACGGGGAAGGGTAAGTATGCAGTTGTGAGAGTTTTAAAAGTTAGTCTTCAAGTTCTTTAAAACTCCTCTCATCAAGAAGTAGAGATGAATTCCTCTCCTCTTGAATAAGGACTAAACTTAGTGACTCATTTCTAACAACAAAATATGGCATAAGGGATACCATGTGACATTTGAGACAGTATCATAACAGGTGATAGAGCTTCCATCTGACTTTCTCTCAGAATGCTTGTTCTTGGAACCCAGCCACCATCTACTGAGGAAGTGTAAGCCACAATAAGAAGCCACATATAACTGTCTTGGCCAGTAGCCCCAGCTGTGGTCCTAGCTGAAGCCAGTATAAACCACCAAACTTGTGAAAAAAGAAGCTTTTGAGATAATTCCAACCCCAGCCACCATCAGACAACAGTCACATAAGACTCTAGGAGAGAAGAGCATAGTTCAGTCCAGTCCACTCCCAGAACAGTAAGAATTAACAGTAATAAATGATTGATATTTTACTCTATTATATTTTGGGTAGTTTGTTACACAGCAATAGCAATGGTATCACAATTGCACTCTTAAAATTATTCATAGTATCTTTCATTACTCAGACAAACATCAGTAGGAAAACAACTCATTTTCTTTCTTCAAAATTATAATCAAATTAATTTTTTTAATCTAAGGTAGCAAAGTCTTATTATTATATTGTGAAAACTTGTAAAATATTGAAGAATTACTATTTAGCATATAATAAATTTTAACAGGCATCAAACCAGCTGTTAAATCTTATAGCTAAAGACAAAATTGTTATCAACATAAAAACTGTGCATAAAACTGGGCAATGAGCAAGCATAATCATCAAATAAACATTTTATACAAATAAAAGGAGTAGGCCAGGCACGGTGGCTCACGCCTGTAATCCCAGCACTTTGGGAGGCTGAGGCAGGTGGATCACGAGGTCAGGAGATAGAGACCATCCTGGCTAACATGGTGAAACCCTGTCTCTACTAAGAATACAAAAATGAAATTAGCCAGGCGTGGTCGTGGGCGCCTGTAGTCCCAGCTACTTGGGAGGCTGAGGCAGGAGAATGGCGTGAACCTGGAAGGCAGAGCTTGCAGTGAGCCGAGATTGGGCCACTGCACACTCCAGCCTGGGCGACAGAGTAAGACTCCGTCTCAAAAAAAAAAAAAAAAAGCAAAACGAAAACCAAATAAAAGGAGTAAGCATGTATTAGCTTCATTAGTGAGGACACCATGAAAAAATGATTTTCAGTAACTACACAAAAAAAGTAAATGAATTTGGTAGAAGAAATATTGAGTTTACACATTCCAAATGCAAAAATGCTAACCAGAGAAAGCTGGCATTAATTTGAGAGCAGTAGATGATGTTAAATACAGAATAAGATGAAAAGTTCTAGTGAAAAATTTTTTCTGTTAAAATATTTTTCAGTAACTGATTTTTAAAATGAAAATGTTTCATAATGAGTATATAAAATATTTAGAGAAGTTATTTAGAATTTATTTAGAAATTATTAGACTAGAGAAGTTATAATCACATATAAAATTAAAGAATCATCAGATAGTATACTAAATCACACTGGTATACAAAACTGATCAAACTGAATAATTAATCATTGCTTAGGAAATAAAAATTGTAGCCAGAAAAATAGATTAGTTCTTTAGAGTGACCTGAATAAGATGAACAGTAGCAAACAGGAATTATTGCCTTGTATTCAGTAATTATCATATGTATGGGATATCACTACGTACACCCTTCACCTACAGTCACATATACCACATTCTCATTCACACTCACCATCATCTTGTTTTATGGTTATATAAGTACGTACACATATATACATACACACATATATATGTGTGTATACATCTGTATATTTATATGTGCACACAGTATGTATATACATATATAAATATCCATGTGTATATATGTTTATAAGCCCATTAACAGACATGATAATTACACAAAACCAAAATGTCAAAAAAAAAAAAGAACTAATAAAAACATTACTAGATGTTTCATACCTGAAGTTGTAGGTACTTCCACAGTAATACTACTATATGGTGGAGGGGAAGAGTCAGTTTCAAGTGCTGGTGCTGAAGACGCAGCCTGCACAATCTGCGGTGCTGGGTTTGAAGTAGGTGGCTGCTCTATAGCCGATGATTCTGAGTTATCCTCTTCATTAAGAAGCTAAGAGAACAAAAGAAAAACAAAACATTAATGTAATGCTAATTATTTTTTAAATTTTAAGCTGATTTTATCATTTCAGACACAGTATCGCTTTTTGGCCAAACACAAAGAAAATGGCATTTTTAGATAGTATACAAAATCACACTAGTATTTCAAAGTTTTTAAAAAACAATTTGTAAAGACTTAGTTATTAAGAAGTTCAGAATTTTCAGTTTCTTTACAATAAAGAGGAAGGTCAAATTAAGAATTTACAAAGAAAATATCATGATTCAAAATAAATACAAATTCATATGATCCTAAAGTAGATATCAAAGGTCTACCACATCCCTTGGATAAGGGGGCCTACTGTAATTTTAAAATCAGGTACCAAAAGAAGACTCCAAGGTTTCTGGCCTATTGAAGCCATTTATTGAAATCGGAGAGACTGTAGAAGGAGAAGGTTTGGTGCTACGGGGAAGAGGAAGTATGCAATTGTAACAGTAGAGTTATTACATACTACAAAGAAAAGCAAAAATCCTAATAACATAGCCACAATACCATCTCTACTACCATCTCTTCCTACTTATGAGCCTCCTGAAAAAATGTGTGAATCTAGAATAATCAGAAATGAAAGCTGAATTAATGAAATGGAATAAAACAGATAAACATTCTAAAAATGTGGAGTACGCTAAGTAGGTTTTCCCAAGTACAAAAAAAATTATTAAAGCAAGGCTGGGCACAGTGGCTCACACCTGTAATACCAGCACATTGGGAGGCCAAGGTGGGTGGATCACTTGAGGCCAGGAGTTTGAGACCAGCCTGGCCAACATGGTGAAGCCCTATCTCTACTAAAAATACAAAAATTAGCTGAGTGTGGTGTCGCACACCTGTAATCCCAGCTACTCGGGTGGCTGAGGCAGGAGAATTGCTTGAACCCGGGAGGCAGAGGTTGCAATGAGCCAAAATTGCGCCAATGCACTCCAGCCTTGACATTGTCAAAGTGACAGAGCGAGACTCCGTCTCAAAAACAAACAAACCAACAAAAAAATTACTAAAGCAAAATAAGTTGATGTGTATATAAAATTCTAGCAAATGCTCTTCGTCTCAACAAATTCCTTGAGAGTTAATAAATGCTAATAAAATGTTGAGATCTTGAATTACTTAACTGAATCTCCACAACAACCTAGGAGATCCTAGGAGACAGAGACTGTTATTATCACCAATAAAAGGAAAACAACAAACAGGAAGTGCAGAAGCTAAAGTAACTTGCCATATGTCACAACAGTAAGAAAGAGTAGAGTAAGGAATTAAAGCCAAGCAGTGTGACTGAAGACGTTTTACTTCATTTATGGTAAACTTTGAAATGGCCATTCCTCACGAATTGGTAATAACTACATGCAGACAAACTAAGATGAGTCAAAGGCATCAATACGATAAAAAGTGATTCATCAAGAAGTACTTTGATCCTTAAATATATTTGGCAAAAAGTCTTATTAAAAATTTTTAAGATACTTTTAAAACTGGAATCTCTATTTCAAAAGAAACTACTAGTTTTCCATATTATTTAATTTTCATATTTTAATTTATTCCTGTTACTCTAAGAAATTCAATGTTAAAAATAATCTCCCAAATAAATTTTGTCACAAAGCTAGTATACATACCAATTTGAATGTGATGTAGCAAAATGAACATGAATTTTGGAATTTAGAAAGAACAGCATGTTGGACTGGGCACAGTGGCTGGCACCTGTAATCCCAGCACTTTGGGAGGCTGAGGGAAGCGGACTGCTCGAGCTCAGGTGTTCAAGACCAGCCTGGGCAATATGGTGAAACCCAATCTCTACCAAAAAATACAAAAAATGGTCAAGTCTGGCATGTGACTGTAGTCCCAGTTACTAAGGAGGCTGAGGTGGGAGAATCACTTGAGCCTAGGAGGATGAGGCTGCAGTGAGCCGTGACCACGCTACTGCACTCCAGCCTGGATGACAGGGTAAGACAGTGTCTTAAAAAGAAAAAAGAAAGAAAGAAAAAAGAAAGATCAGCATGTAAATTTTTGCTCTACCTTTTAGGACCTCTGATAAAATCTTCTCCATGTCTTAGTGTTCACCTATTAGCTCTGAATGCAGCCAAAATCCTCATAGGCTTGTAAAATAATATTTGGAAAGCATCTAATATAACAACCAACACACTGAAGGATTTAACAAATACTATTCTCCCACTTCTTCCCTTTTATTTAGTTTATTTCATCACCTTAAAGAGAAATTATGTGGTACTCTCTAACAATCCAATCAGTAGTCACTCATCTCTGAAATAAATAAGTAAATGCAAAGTAAAACAAGAGGTCAATTTACTACACATTGCTTTTTCCATGTCTTGGTAAATGATCACACTAGCAAAACATTTTTGTGAGATAGTGAATGTATTATAACTTAACAAAACTGTCATAACCATGCCTAAAATCATTTATGAAGTTACTAAGACCACTCTTTCCACAAACATCATAACATTAAGATTTACATAATGAGATCAATTCACATAAATTGAATTCAAAAACCAAATAATCGTAAGTGAATTTTATGATTATGAGCCTAATGAAGTTTATATTTCTTGCAGCACTTTTCCAAGTAGGCACTAAATGACTACCCTCTTGACTAGTGACATGTTGCACTTGGTATTACCATCCGTCTCCCATGTCTTCCTACTACATGGTACCCAGGAGAATTCCTCACTTAATTATCTTTAACTGATAATATTTTAAGACCAAAAATGTTAGATCAGCAAGGTAAGCCCAATAAAAGTTAATACAGATGTCTACTTGTTAATATCACCTAAACAATTAATTGTGAAGGTGTCAAAAAGGGAAAACCACTTTTCCACATCTCTTATTAAAGCTGCAAATGCAGATACAGCGAGCTTTACAAACGAAAAATCTTATATGCAAAACAGCACTCTTCCAGTTTCTCAAAAAAAACACTCTTTACTACATTGAATACATAAATGTGCTCCCCAGAATGACCAACTTACTTTCAAAAACTGTCAAAATTTACTCAAATAACTAAAATGAAAGGAATAACTACAAACACTTTTATATATAAGCTCCAAAATAAAGCTTTGGAGCCTATAAAACATGCCCTAATTTATTTCAACTGCCCTAGCTAACACCTACGGTTTTGACAAAATTATAATATGTGAATATTACCATGCATCAACAGTAAAACCCACTAACTCAGTCAACAACCTCTGCCTACTGTAGCATATATAACTTTCAATTTACTTTAAATAAAATTCTGTAATTTTGATATCTTTGCCGGCAATAAAATTGCCTCTGTGAATTAACCAACTTTGACTGCCTTTTAAACAAATCCATCACGAGGGTTAAAATAAAGTCATATTTATCAAATTAGACAATTCTACTTGAGAATAATTTTTCTTAATCATGTTCTCCAATGGTTCTATTTGACATTCATTAACAATCATCTAAACAGCAAAAAAGGGAGGAGAGGGGAGACAGGAGAGGAGGGGACCTACTTGTATACAGTGATGCCTAAGCTCTGTGCCCTATTTATACATCACCTCAAAAGCCATCATTCCTGCTCTTCCTACTTATGAGCCTCCTGAAAAACTGTGGGCAATATAGCACATGAAAACAAAACTGTCTTTAATGTATCAACCAGGGTGGTGAAAAGTTGTATAGTGAATGAACCGAAATTGTTTTTTGTCTAAAGAAAAAAAAATGACAACAGAGCTCTCTTAAAAGCATTTGTGGCTAGTCTTTATAGATATATACTGAGCATTTTTAATAACAAGAAAACTGTAAGCATTATGATTAACTCTAGCTGGAAGTACAGCCTTCCAGTGCATAAAGATTGTTTCTTTTACTTTTATTGGCATGTATCCTATATAATAACCTTTCATTCTATCTTAAGGTGATAAAACATTAATGTAATAACTGGATGCTTTCCTTTTGAGAAGCTAGAGACCTCACTGAATGTTCTCTAAAAGAACCAAGATAAGAATGTGTAGATGTGCTATCAAGTGTTGCTTGGCAAGCAGTGCACTACATTAGAGTCTGGTGGGTCAGCCAGCAATGTGACCTCTTCTTGTTTCTTTTCTGTTTTAATTTGGATGTAGGTTAGACCTACAGGAAGAGAACTGTAATTTTTAAAAAATCATTTTTAAAGTAGTAAAAAAAAGTGATCTAAAAAACCAATGAATATGTATACTATCATATTATTACTATATTTAGCATCAGAGGGCAGATCCAGGAATAAGAGTCATTGCAATGAGATAAATATTAGCTCAATAAAAAACTTGGCTGAGTGTAGTGGCTCACACCTTGTAATCCCTTTGGGAGGCCAAGATGGGAGGATCACTGGAGCCCAGGAATTCAAGACCAGCCTGGGCAACACAAGGAGACCCTGTCTCTACAAATAATAAGTAGACCTAGCTACTTGGGAGGCTGAGGCAGGAGGATAACCTGAGCCCGGAAGGTGGAGGCTGCAGTGAGCAGTGATCGCACCGCTGCACCCCAGCCTGGGTGACAAAGTGAGACTCTGTCTCCAAAAAACAAAACAAAACAAAACAAAAACTTTTTTACTATTGGAGCTACCCATGGCACTAGATTTTTAGTGAAGCAACAAATACTTTCATGCAGAGTTTGGATGATGATCTGGCAAGGCTGTGGTATAACTAGAGTGAGCATACACCTGTTTTTCCCAAGATACTTCCACTTTATACTTGTTGTTCCAGGGTCCCACCCAATTCATCATGTTCCAATTTTGTAAAATTAAATAGTCAATCTATATATCATGAACCTCTTGTCCTCAGTGGAATATTAGAGCAGATGACAAAGGCTCCTTCTAACTCTAAGATACTATGACCCCTGCCCCCCACCCAAAAAAAAAAAAAGAAAAACCTTAGAGTATATCATTCTGTGTCACCTTTTTAACACCTGATTTAGGGGAAAAAAAAAACAGATTAGAATTACAATAAAATCAAATAGCAGAGTCAAGCTACTCATTGAAGTTACCCAAGAAGAAGGTGAGCTACCTCATCTGTGCTCCTAGGAATTAATAGCAGGTGATAAGAGATCTCTGCAGACAGCCTAAGTGTTCTAAACCTACAGCTCAGAAGAAATGTACCCATTAAATAGTGCTGCTCAGCATACTGAGCTAGATTTTCTACCAATAAAACTGACTTATGGCAGTCGTTCTCATATAAACACTCAATTTGGCAAATTAGAATTTTCTTAAATTTAGGGTTATTTTCCAAATGTCTTTTCCACTAAACCTCTGCTGTCTCTAGACACTTTCCTGCTAGTGGGAGCTAGCATATGACAAAGCAAAAATATGAACCATTAGGAAACAAATCTATAAGCTGAAAATAAATATTAATGTAAAAGCTGCAAGTTAGCAAATCATGCCTAATTTTCAGCTTCTTGTTTTGAAAACAAAGTGATGTGGTTTTAAATTTTATAATATAACACAGGTATATCTTCTGCTAGTAAAAACATTTCTTGTTAGTATGACAGAACATATCTGTACAGTTGTATGCCACATAATGACGTTTAGTTCAACGATGGGACACATATAAGATAGTGGCCTCATAAGATTATATCAAACTTTTACTGTACTTGTTCTATGTTTATATATACAAATACTCACCATTGTGTTACAACAGTATTCAGTACAGTAACATGCTGTACAAGTTTATAGCCTAGGAGCAGTAGGCTATACCATACGGCCAAGGTATGTAGTAGGCTATACCATCTAGGTTTGTGAAATTAGTCTACGATGTTCACCCAATGAGATGAAATCACCTATTGCATTCTCAGAGCATATCCCCATTGTTCAGCCACACATGACTGTATTTTATGGTCTACACAAAGAGCACCATGAGCTCCAATCCAGATGCTCAACTGCTATTGAAAATGATATAATCTGGAATTGTAACCAAACAACTTCGAAGAATGCAAATCAGAAAGAGTATCTTTTTAAAAAAATGTAAGGGGGGGATAATTAAGCAGGCAAGAAGTGATGAAAGAACAGAAAACAAAACTTTATTGTCAGACTAGACTGTTTTTCTGAGCTCCAGGACTGTATAACCACTCACTAATCCTTTGCTTTAAATAACACTAAGCATAATCACATACAAAAAAGGAATCTGTATTTATATATGTTCAACTATTTTCCTCCTAACCCTCACTGCTTAGCTAACTCTACATATTGTTCAGATTTCAGTTTAAAATCAAGTTCTGAGGAAAGCCTTTCTTGTCTCCCAAATGTAGATTAGAACTCTTTGATATAATCTTAACTTTAACCCTGTTCTTCAGAGTACTTATCACAATAGCAATTTTATTTATATAATCACTCATTTACAACCTTTTTCCCAGCTAAAGTAACAGCTCTCCAAAAGTGGAGGTTATGTCTGTCTTGCTGAACACTGTGAAAATATTAAATAAAAGTAAGTCCCCCAAAGTACTCTGCTTCAGCTTCCGTTAAAATTTAAAGAAAATATAATATAGGTCACCAGTCATAATGACATAAGATGGAAAGCCCTGAGAGAGAAGAACCTTGCTAACACAAGTATTCTGCCATCTCTAACAGCTAGTACTACTTTTCTTAATATGTTGCCATTACTTTTAATGGCAAAACCACAATTACTTTTGCACCAACCTAATACATTAAAGGAGAGAGGGCTGGAGAACATTAACTTCTCAAAACAAAGAAGCCAAATGGGTGGGATAAAGATCTTATATAAATTTCTATTTAAAAAAGAATCACAACTCTGGTCAAATTCCTTTTCATGTGTTAAAACTGCAACATAAATATACTAAATACCAAGATTCCCTCATGGAATACAACATGCTCTATATGGCACATTCATTAGTTGTGTTTACACTGCTTTAATTAAAAGAGATATGCTTCTTGAAATCTTACAAAATATCAACAAAAACATACTCTCTTCAAAATTCTATTTACCTTACTCAGATCTTAGCCAAGAAAAAAAGTATTTACAAATCTGTCCTACAATTATGACTTTTTATCAATAGGTCAATGCGATCTGAACATATTAATAGCTTGCTGATCTCCTAATCCTTAATGGAAAAAAAAAAAAGAAGAGAAAAAAACTAACATAAAGGAGAGGAAAACATGAGTGTGCTGGGTTGACACCTTCTCACACTTTCTTTCCTCTAAGGTTGTCTATCTTCCAGGACGCTGCTCCCTGCTGGGCTCCACTCACCCTCTCAAAGTCTTCTGAAAATCCAACAATCTAGCTCCCATCAATTTATCATGAAAAGCCCACAATGTATGTCATTAATATCTATATGTTTCATCATGGGATGATGTTCAGCTCACTTTTTGTAGTTTTATATCACAATATGTGTTAGATATATTTTAAGTTTACTTTTAAAAGATGACATTTTTTGAAGTCTGGCAACTAACTTGAGTTTGTGTCTCTCCATAGTATAATATCTTGATTTCATTAAGGCATGGAACTTTTTGAATATTTGCTGGTGACTATGCTGTGTGTTAAACAAAGTAGACATGTGACTGTCTCCCTAAAATCCTTTCCATAACTCTTTCATTGTAAGTCCACAGTAATTTCTGTGGGAATTAGCCCACCTGACTCCAAGGCTAACCCCAACTACATTAATCAGGATACTCCTTTGGCATGGCAACTGGTTGGTACCCAGCCAGCATGGCTCTCCTCCTGGGCAGGATACCTGGGTCAAAGGTAGGTGATAAGGTAACCTAAAATGATCCAATTATAGTAAAGACCATGGCACATTTTAATATTCATGTAAATTAACCAAGCTAATTTCCAAGACAAATATGGCTTCCATCAAATTATGTTTTAATAAAATGACAACACAGAGTAATCCTGGTTTTTAAGATTTTCCTCCTTAAGTGGCTTGGAGACCATAATTTAGAAACCCAAATAGAGAAGCTACAACCACAGGACCAGCCCAAACTGGGCCTACTCTGTCAATAACAAAATGTCAAGTACCTTTTAGGTGTAACAGATTCAGAGACTGCAAGACATGTAGCCTGGTCATGTGCAATAGAAAAAGCTTGATTTCTAACAATCCCCACAACCAAAGAATCCTCCCCTCAGAACCAAGAAGACTGGGATGTGACCAAAAAAAAGGGTTCATTGGCCCAGAAGATCTGAGGCTACAATCTGCAT
Organism: Homo sapiens; assembly: GCF_000001405.40. NCBI lineage: Eukaryota > Metazoa > Chordata > Mammalia > Primates > Hominidae > Homo > Homo sapiens. The sequence continues at coordinate 79,512,641 of NC_000013.11, read as the reverse complement.
CAATATACCTTTCCACAAATGGTCAAATGTGCAGCTCTCCAATCAGACCCTGCCAAGCCAACATTCCTAAATCCTTTTCCTGGCCCTCTGATCCCTTAAGAGTTGCCTTAGAACCTAAACTGGGGAGACAGATTTGAATCTGTTCCTATTTTCTCACTTACCAGTTTTGCAATAAAGCCTTTTTTTTTTTCCTCAAAAGCCAGTGCCACATACTATTGGTCTCTGTGCATCCATAGGCAGCAACGGCAAGCCCATGTGCTTGATAACAAAGCTGCTTCGATGCATTTTTTAAAAGCAGAAGACATTTTAAATGATAGTGTTTGAATTTATAAAACAATTTAAATTTTTAAGTCTTCAAAATATTCCAATGCTTTGGTTTTCACAAGCTAACGTAGTAGTATTCTATCCAACAAAGGCATTGACAATATAATGATAATGGTAACTGGTAATCAAAGGTTTTGTTGCCTTAATCAAATTAAGTAAGGACATTTTGACAGATTCTCCAGAAAGTTTCTGATTTGCATGTAACAAAAATTAGTCAAAAATGGGGTGGCTGGTAAAGTTTTAAAAGTAAAATTGTGCAAAGAATATATGCATAATTCTAAAAGACTGAAGTCTCACACATTAAAGCATAGAAAAATATCAAAATATTCAGCAATCAGAATCTGAACATTAAGAGGTTTTAAAAGCAAAACTATTTAGGGAGAACAGAAAACAAGAACTAGTAAATTCTAACTGCAACCATTTCCTTCCAGGAAACATTCACTTGCAAGTCTGTGCTGCTTTCTGAGCCCCTGGGGTCTTAGGGACACCTCGCAATCTCTAATTAGATTTGGGAATACGTCTGCCTTCCCAATCAGATCATAAGCTTTTGATATTTAGGAAATATGCTTTGTTCATCTTGGTATCCCCTAAATTAGCTAGCAGAGTTTAGGGCATAGAATTGGCTTCATATTAAATATACTGTCCTCTAGGCCTCCTAGAGTTTTTCCCTCATGGAAATGGGAGCTTGTCAAATAATGGATGCAATATGCACTGAACACCTCAAGATTCAGTATCACACACCTCACAGATTTCTATGATTCCCACAGTGCTTTACATATATAAACCTGAAATATTTCATCATTCAACTGTTACGAGGCAGTCACCATAATTTAGTAAGTAAATATCTGACCCTAAAAGTTTACTAAATTAAACAATGGTTTCTGAAAACTACAGGTCACTGAATATATATCCCAAAGAAGAATGTAAATGCCAACCCCACATCACCCAAGTCTTTATAATAACTACTACTTTTGTGATGGCCATGCTTACCATAGCTAGATGAGAAAGCTAAGGAAATCAAAATACTGTACCCCAAATTATACGTCTTTGACATAATTTGAGATTGCTATTCAGAGGGCCTGCAAATAGAAGTAGCCCTGAAAAGCTATCTTTTGTGGGAGATTTCCATTTATAGAGAAAATCTACATTGATGCAGCCAGGCCTTCTCTGAGGGCCTTCCGTTGTCCAATCCAGGAAAGTTTAACTGAGAGTCTGACACCTTTAAAGTCTAAAACAAACATTCACCATCTGTTGTCTGAGGGCTGCAACCCATGAGGTTTCATCTATATAACAAGGCCACCTTTTTTTTTTTTTTTTTTGAGACAGAGTCTCGCTCTGTCACCCAGGCTTGAGTGAAGTGGCAAGATCTCAGCTCACTGCAACCTCTGCCTCCCAGGTTAAAGCTATTATCCTGCCTCAGCCTCCCAAGTAGCTGAGATTACAGGTGTGTGCCACCAGACCTGGGTAATTTTTGTATTTTTAGTAGAGACAGGGTTTCACTATGTTGGCCAGGCTGGTCTCGAACTCCTGACTTCAGGTGATCCGCCTGCCTCAGACTCCGAAAGTGCTGGGATTGCAAGCTTACAAGCATGAGCCACCGCACCCGGCCAATAAGACCATCTTTGATAGCCAAGTCCTCCTCTTCTCTCCATCCCATTACCTGTTTTGCCACTATAACCTATTTTGCCCACAATCCAAGCCCCATTCTTTCTATAACCTCAAGATGGTATATAAGCTTCTGAATCCATTGTGGGGTTGGCAGTAATCACTCTGTGGTTCTCCCCTGTGTGTATCTTCATAAATTTTTACTCCATTTTTCCTATTAAGCTGCCTTTAGTCAGCTGATTTTTCAGAGAACTTTCGGAAGGCAATGGGGAAGTAGTTTTCCCTTGGCTCCTACACAGCCAAAAGTAAAAAGGGTCAAAAAAAAAAAAACAAAAAAAATCACCATGGGCTCACCTTCTCCCATCACAGAATCAAAGAGTAGGCTACGGTCAGTGGATTAGGGATTAACTGCCTAATACTTTTAATACACTGATGGAAAAAGCATCAGTGACTTACAACACAGCAATAATAGCAAATGTTCATATACAGGACTTCTGCCTGTCAAAAAAAAAGTACACTCTTAAAAAACATACAAAAAAGAACAAAAATAGATCACAAAAGGGACAACTTTTTATGCAGATTTGTATAAACCAAACATAAAATTCTAAGCCCCCCAACCATCTGAATGGACTCCTGTGATAGTTAATACTGAGTGTCAACTTGGTTGAAGTATGCAAAGTATTGATTCTGGGTGTGACGGTGTTGCCAAAGGAGATTAACATTTGAGTCAGTGGGCTGGGAGAGGCAGACCCACCCTTAATCTGAGTGGGCACCATCTAATCAACTGCCAGCGCAGCTAGAATATAAAGCAGGCAGAAAAATGTGAAAAGATGAGACTGGCCTAGCTGCCCTGCTTACATCTTTTTCCTGTGCTGGATGCTTCCTGCCCTCAAACATCAGACTCCAACTTCTTCAGTTTTGGGACTCAGAACAGCTCTCCTTGCTACTCAGCTTGCAGATGCAAGGCCTACTGTGGGACCTTGTGATCGTGTGAGTTAATAAACTTCTCTCTCTCTCTCTCTATATATATATATATCGATAATATACATCCTATTAGTTCTGTTCCTCTAGAGAACGCCAATACAACTCCTCCCCTTGGCCAAGGGCCTTCCAAAGTTAACCTGTAAAACTAATTCAGGCCATGATGAGAAGAGGGAGCAGACATGCCTCTTTACCATTAAAATCAAAACAGACCTTAAGGCTGACAGAACAGACTCTGTAGGTCTGATAAGAAGCATTTATAATCTATTCTCTCTGAAGCCTGTTACTTGGTGGCTTCATCTGAATGATCAAACCTTGGTCTCCACAACCTCTTATCATAACTTCTTTCTACTGATTCCAAGTCTTTAGATAATAACTCAACCAATTGCCAATCAGAAGATCTATTAATCCACCTATGACCTGAAGTCCCCACTCTCCACTGCCCCCCTACCCATTGTCCCACCTTTCCAAACCAAATAAATGTACATCTTACACATACTGATTGATATCTTATGTCTCTCTAAAATGTATACAAGCAAGTTGTAGGCCAACCACCCTGAGCACATGTTGTCAGGACCTCCTGAGGCTGTGTCACTGGCATGTCTTTAAGCTTGACAAAATAAATTCCTAAATTAATTGAGACCTGTTTCAGATACTTTTTGGGTTACATAGTTTTAATGTTTAAATTAAAAAAAAATGCTAACTCTAGAATAATTTTATTACACAAAACACATAAAACAACAGCACACAGAAGAAATGTAAATCAATACAAATAAAATATTTCTAGTAATGAAGGAAGTAAAACTGCATGTTGGAAAAGAAGAGAGTTGGAGTTGAATTATTGCTAGTAAGAGTATAAGTTAATTGAATCACCTTGAAGAACAATCTGGTAATTCCTACTGTCAGAGATGTTTGAACCAGAGCAACTCCATCTTGAATAGGAACTGGGTAAAATGAGACTGAGACCTACTGGGCTGCATTCCCAAAAGGTTAAGGCATTCTTAGTCACAGGATGAGATAAAAGGTTGGCACAAGTTACAGGTCATAAAGACCTTGTTAATAAAACAGTCTGCAGTAAAGAAGCCGGCTAAACCCCACCAAAACCAAGATGGCGAAGAGAGTGACCTCTGGTCGTCCTCACTACTACACTCCCACCAGCAAGCATCTTGACAGTTTACAAATGCCATGGCAACGTCAGGAAGTTACCCTATGTGGTCTAAAAAGGGGAGGCATGAATGATCCACCCATTGTTTAGCATATAATCAAGAAATAACAATAAATATGAGCAACCAGCAGCCCTGAGGGCTATTCTTTTGATTCTTTACTTCTCTAATAAACTTGCTTTCACTTTACTCTATGGACTCACCCTGATTTCTTTCTTGCACGAGATCTAAGAACGCTCTCTGATCCAGACCCCTTTCCAGTAACACTAGTAAAGGTAAAAGTGTGCAGGACCCAACAGTTCTACTTCTAAATGTTAATACTAGGAAATTCTCACATGGAAATAAAGAGGCATGTACAAGAATGTTCAAGGCAGCAATATTTGTAATAGTAAGAAACTTAAAACAACTTTCTAGCCAGTAGGCAATAAATAACTATTATCCCATGATTTATAAGACTAATTAGATCTGTATTAACCATCACAGATAAATCTTCAAAACATACTAAATGAATAAAGCAAGCTCAAAAAGTATAAAACAGAATACTAAAACAAATACATTTTCACATAATCTAAAACTAAAATATACATTATAATAAGGCATACATGTAAGTATTCAAAGAAAAGCAGAAAAACATTCACAAAAATGATAAATATCAACTTCAGGATAATGTTAAAGGGATTAAGAGATGAGGAAAAGCATAGAATGTAAAACTTTATTTCATTTCTTAAAAAAAAAAAAGTTCAAGATCTCAAACAAATACAGCAAGATGTTAACATCTATTATGTCCACGGTGGATATAGAACTATCTTTTACTTTATGTTTGAAGTGTTTCATAGTTTTAATATTTAAATTTTAAAAAAAGTTGATCCTGACAAGTTGTATTCCACGAATAGACATTTTTAAACATGAAAGAAGACAGAATACACAGCACCCATGTGTCCTTGAAAAAGCAACTACCCCATGATGAAAACAAGACAACTAAAAACTCAATCAGAGGCCGGGCGCGGTGGCTCACGCCTGTAATCCCAGCACTTTGGGAGGCCGAGGCGGGCGGATCACGAGGTCAGGAGATCGAGACCATCCCGGCTAAAACGGTGAAACCCCGTCTCTACTAAAAATACAAAAAAATTAGCCGGGCGTAGTGGCGGGCGCCTGTAGTCCCAGCTACTTGGGAGGCTGAGGCAGGAGAATGGCGTGAACCCGGGAGGCGGAGCTTGCAGTGAGCCGAGATCCCGCCACTGCACTCCAGCCTGGGCGACAGAGCGAGACTCCGTCTCAAAAAAAAAAAAAAAAAAAAAAAACTCAATCAGAACAAAAAACACAGAAACAGAAAATCCATGGAAAAGATATAATGGTAAGCACTGAATCCATTTAAATATAGAACTAAGGTTAAACATAGAGCTAAAGACTAACTTCTGGTAAACAGAAAGCAAATATTATATGCCCTAAAAAAGCAAAAATACAACATAAAATTCAGAACTGAAGAAAGAGATGACAAAACGTATGAACAGCACTCAACTTCATCTTTCATGGCAGGGATTTCATATCTCATCTAAATTTTAAACATGCAGTTTTAAAAAATACTCCGATTTCTTACTGTTTTTTATAAACTATTTTCCCAATTTTAGTGAACTCTTACAGAACCTAAGATTTTTGTGGCAAAGAAACCTTTACCTAGAGTTCAACATTTACCTAGATCTTAAGGTATTTTTCCCTTGTTATTAAATTCAAACAAAATAATAATTTAAATTTTTGTTTTTTAAAATAGCACAATCCCATAATTATGAAATTATTCCTGTCTGTCTATATGTAAGCATGAATAAGATGATGTTCACCAAATGTTAACATAGGTTATTACTGGTTGGTAAGATCTGGGTGCCTAGACTGCTTGTCTCTTTATACTTATATGTACTGCCTATATTTTTTAAAAATAAAGTATATATCGCTTATTTTTCAAACACAAAACACACATGTCAGCCTAACACTTCCCATTTTAAAACTATACCCTAGGGAACTAACGAGAAACTTAAACAAGATTTCTTTCTAATGTTGTTCATCATGATGTTACAATAATAGGAAACTGGAAAAAACAACTACTTGTCCAAAATAGAAGAGTTAAACAAACTCACCGTATCAAGACAATAAAATATTATATAGCCATTTAAAATGGTGTTTTGAAAGAATATTTAATAGTATAAGGAAATGTTCATGAAAAGATGTTAAAGAAGTAACAGAGTTGTGTCTGTGTGTGTCTGTGAGAATCATATATTATTCCAATTTTAAATAAGACAAACATGTTAAGTTTTTAAATGACTGTTAATAGACGAAATAGGTAACATGGTTGCTTACAAGTTGTATTTTCTTTTTTCTTTTTCACTCTTCTGTATTTTTTCCAAGTTCCCTAGAATAGGGATAAAGAAAGGAACATATCTTTCTGTTTTTAATGTAGGACAGAAGGTAACATGTTAAAGAGATTTCCATCTGTGCTTAAAGGAATAAGTTTCTACAAGTTAGAAAACTCATATTTGTTAGATTTCTCCATGATGATAAACAAGATCATCACAGATTCTACAACCATTCAAAAACCTCTGATAATCATTTTCGTCTTTACAAGAAAGTCAAGTACATAAACACAGATATGATGTTGGTTGCCATCAATAATTTAACACTAATAATACATAGAGTAAATACCAGCATGTATCCACTTTAAGGTGATGATTTTCTAATGAAACCCAGTTTAGAGGTTACAATGATTCATAAGGGCTTTTTTTTTTCTCTTTCCCACTTGTTACAAGATTTTTCCTCATAGTGCCCTTTTGCTGTAACTAGTTATTAGCCACACTGTATATTCATTTATATAATCTAAAATGGTATTCTATTTTCACAGCAATACTACCTATTCTTTGGGAGCTTTTTGGTTTTTGGGTTTTTTTTTTTTTTAAGGCAAGGTCTTTCTCTGTTGCCCAGGCTGGAGTGCAGTTGCACAATCTAGCTCACTACAGCCTCTAACTTCTGGGCTCAAGCAATCCTCCCGCCTCAGCCTCCCAAGTATCTGGGACAAGCAGGCACCATCATATCTGGTCAATTTATTACATTTTTTTTGTAGAGCTGAAGTCTTGCTATGTTACCCAGGCTGGCCTTGAACTCCTGGGCTCAAGCAATACCCCTGTGTTGGCCTCCCAAGGCGCTGGGATTACAACCATGAGCTGCTGCGCCGGCAACTACTTATTCTTTAGAACTCCCACAGTAAGGATAACACACCCACATTGTGAGCAACATGCCACCAAAGTTCCAACTGCTTTATTCAACAATCCGGCTAATAAAGGACTCTAGCAACCTTTCCACAAGCAATTCTGTGAGAAAATGTTCATTAGGCACCCAGCACAGTAGCAGTAAGCCATTATGGCAGTAACTGTTGTGTTGGTCAGTTTTCTCCCACTGATGCCCCATGTGTAAGTGTAAACAGTGCTTCTTCAACCCAAATTAAATTCTAGAAGTCAGACATATTCACATTATCTGAATGCTCTATGGCAAGAAAGTACAAAAATGCCAAGAACATGTTACAAGGATGCAAGAGCAGATGGAACAGGCTCCTGCTGGCCAAATCTGGGATAATCTGAGCCTCAAAATAAATTATGACAGTATCAGATTATAACTCATAGAATAAAACATGAATCCATGAATTCATACTGATATAAATGAATAGATGGGGAGCAAGAGAAAACTCTTCCTTACAGAATTCTAATTAATAAACATAGAAAAAAATGGAATTAGGAAATCACCATTTGACAACCACTAAAGTTATAACTATTTAAGGCAAGAACCACCAATGAATTTTAAAACCAGTGAGTGAAAGTATAATAAAACAGAGCTACAAAATAACTGACCTGAACCTTTCTAAAACATTAATGTAATGAAAGACAAAAAAAAAAAAATTTAGAGAACTGTTCCAGGTAAAGAGACTTGATAACTGAGTGTAATGTTTAATCACAGATCAGATCTCAATTTTTTATAAAAATGTTTTTTCTTTTGCTATGTGACATTAGTAGGAAAACTGGTGAAATATGTTTAATATTGCACCAATGCTACAGATTTTGATAACTGCACTCTATATAAGACAACATCTTTGTTTTTGGGAAATACACACTGAAACATTTAGATATAAAGAAACATCATTTCTGTCATTTACTTTAAAATGTTTCAAGAAAAAATGTACTTATATACAAATACAGGTAAAGAACTCATCAGAAAACAAATGTGATAAAATATTATTTGGGGAAACTGGGTAAAATATACACAGGAATTCTTTGTATTATTTTTGCCATTTTTCTGTGTCTAAAATTATTTTTCAATAAAGTTTAAAAAGCAAAATGCTATATAGTAAGAAAGTAGAATATATTGTATAAAAACAAATACATTAATTTAAAACTTTACAATTCAGTATCTAAAAATTTTCCCTCTATCTCTAGAACCCCTATATGATGATTAACTCCTCTATACCTTCAGCCATTTTATAAAATGATCTCTCCACATTTAACTGAACTCCAACTTTCCATGAATGGCACTACATCCCTCAAAGCCCTCTCAAATAAGGGTGCTAATCCTCACATCTCTCCCTCTTATCTGGGAACAAGAAGACAAGGAAAATTTTCTTGGATATTTTCAATTCCAAATCAAGAGGCTCTTTTGAAATTCACACTGTCCATACAGCCTGCCAGACTCTCTATCACCCTATTCTTATCAGTGGCATTGACAGGAGTCCAAATTATTCCCAGTGAGTAAGATTTATAAGCCAGCTCTCCACCCACAATATCATCCCCTCAACCTTAAATCCTACTGTAATACAAGACAACTAAACCATCCTAACACCTCAGCCACAAAACAAAAAGTAATGATGGATATCTACAGTTGAGTGGTCCAGTAAACCTCAGTTCTCTACCCTCTGACAGAATCCCTGATCTGGTCATCATCTAGAACTGCTTCTTCCCAAAAACATTACATTCATACAACTTGGTTCCTTATCCCAACCTTCTGGCCTCAACATTTTTCATTCCTTACTTCCACTGAGCCTATTCTCTGGGCCCTCTATTCCCTGCTACCTGATTTTACCTTCTATCCTATGTAGTCTGGACTATAAAATGCAAAACTTGTATGACCTTCAACTGCACCCTCAATTCTCTAGTCCGCTTATCCTTGGCCACATCTATCCCATTAAGACTCAATTTGGGATAAGTCTGTCTACTGCCTTCTGGTGGAGGGAAGACAACAAATCACGTGACTATGTAGGTGGCTGCCACAGCAAATTTAGTTTCCAGTTCCAACAAGGCCATAAGAGTTCACTGACACCATGGCAGGTGTTCCAATTCCACCAGTCTCCACTTCTAACCATGAGACTCTCAGTCAAAATCTTTGCTTCCTACTTCATGGAGGAAAATAAGCTTTCAAGCAAAAATTCCTTCAACTTCTCTCCTCTGCAGCTCTAAACTTAGCATTATGGCATCCATCCTAACTTATGTTCTTCACTCCCAAATGCCAGACAACTGTACAGAGAAGATCTTGCCTCCCAAAGGATTGTTTTTTCTTTAAATTCTCTCTCCTTCCTTTTCAACACTGACTTCTTTCTCCCTACCCACGTGTATATTCTATTCACACCATACTTCAAAGAGAAAAAAAAAAAACCTCCCCCCAGCTAAAAATAAATACTTTTTCTTCTGCTTTTTGAACTATTTCCATAGCTCCCTTCTTTCCTTTAGTGATAAACATCCTGAAAAGAAATATATATGTATGTATATACTCCCATTTTCTGTACTTTTATTTCCTCACCAATTCATTACCATGTGGCTTTCACCCAAACGTCTCGCTGAAAACAATGACCTTCTAATTATTAAATCCAAAAGCCTATTTTCAGTCCTCATACTATTTAAATATTTAATATATCCAACACACTTAACTGTACTTCTAATTAGTTTTTCTTTAGCTTCCTGATAACTATTCCCTCCTGATTTTCCCTCTATCTTCAACCATTCATTCTGTTTCTTTTGTAAGGGGCTTTATTCTCCTCAGCCAACTTTAAAGAGTCTTATCTAAAACTAAATCCAGAGCTACGGATACTGTCTCTGACCCAGGGACTGGACTGAAGCTGGACGGTGTGTAACTGGTTTGGTTTAAGTTTCATTTGCAAGGGCATTAAAGCAATTAACCCCATGTAATATTGTTAGAGTTACTGTTAGAAGAATTCTTTTGTCCTTTTTAAAAATTAGCATGATGTACTGTCTTATTTAATTTCACATATTTTTAGAAGAAAAGCTAGATGCTAAATGAATAAACTAAAAAAAGAACATGATTTGATGTCAGGAAATCTAAATTTAAGATATAGATCCACCACCTATGAGCTGGATAACCTTGGTGTTATTAATCTCTTTACGCCTCTTTTTCTTTTTGCGATTCATGCATTTTCATTCAGTCAATTAGTCATCCATCATTCAGCTAACATTTACTAAAAGCCTAATATGTTCCAGGTACAATACTGGGTGCGGGAAATAGGTGCAAATCCCATCTCATTAATCACTAAAACTTCTAGCTTCTAACAACTAGAAATTCTGAGGCAAGGCCATAGTAAGTATGACTTCAGCAAGAGGAATAAAGGAAAAGTCAACACAGTCTATCATAGGCAAACCAAAGAGCTGAAACCAGTAACGACCAGGCCTGAAACACCAACTTCCTTCATGGAAAGTTTCATTCTTCCCTCAACAAACTCAGAGAAGCTAACAACAGAATACTCAAGCAAAACTAAATACAGTAACATCAATTACTTAGACATACTGTTGTTAGTGATTCATCCAGGAAGCATAGCAAATGCCAAGACACCACTACAGATGATAGTCAAGGGGTTGATCCATCAAAGTGTTATATGCCAAAGCAAAAACTCTAAAGTTGGCCGCTAAATCTAAACACATAATTTGAATAACTTCAGAATATCGAAGACGAACACATATATACACACTATCACTCACTCTTTCTGTTTCCCTCTCTCAAAGTTAGCAATCATGTATCCCCCTATACTGATTCACCAAATCACGTTTTTAACAGACTTCACTTCTTAGAGATTTAGATCCACAGGAAAAGTCCGCATAAGGTACAGAGCTTTCCCATACACCCCCTTCCCCAACACAGGCAAAGCCTCCCCCATTAACAACATCCCCCATCGGTGATACATTTATTATAACTGATGAACCTACAATAACACATCATTGTTACCCAAAGTCTATAGTTTACATTAGAGTCACTCTTGGCGCTGTTTCCATGGGTTTTGACAAAAGTATAAGGAATCCACCATTACAGTATCATACAGAGTACTTTCACTGTCCTAAAAATCCTCTGTGCTCCACCTATTCATCCCTCCCTCCACACTAACACCTGGCAACCACTGATCGTTTTACTGTCTCCTTAGTTTTGTTTTTCCAGAATGTCATACAGTTTAAATCACATAGTATACAGCCTTTTCAGACTGGCTTCTTTCACTTAGTAATATGCATTTACATTTCCTCCCTGTCTTTTTGTAGTTGGATAGCTCATTTCATTCTGGTTCTGAATAATAATCTGTTCTCTGTATGTCTCACGGTTTATCCATTCACCTATTCACGGCCATCTTAGTTGCTTCAAAGTTTTGGCAAATATGAATAAAGCTACTATAAACATACATGTGCATGTTTTTGAATGGACCGTAAGCTTACAACTCCTTCGGGTAAATATCAAGAAGCATGACTACTGGACTACTGGATAGTATGGTAAGAGTATGTTTAGCTTTATAAGAAACTGTCAAACTATCTTCCCATGTGGCTATATCAGTCTGACTCCCACCAACAATGAATGAGAGTTCTTGTTCCACATCCTCAGAAGAATCTGTTGTTGTCAGCGTTCTGAATTTGGGCCATCGTAACAGGTATGTAGTGGTAACTAGTTGTTTTAACCATCATTTCAAAATGATGCAGAGTATCTTTTCATTTGCTTACTTGCCATCTGTATATCTTCGGTGGTGAGGTGTCTCTTAAGGTTTTTGTCCTGTTTAATAGGGTTGTAGTTTGAGAATTCTTTGTATATTTTGGATAGCAGTCCTTTATCAGACGTCTTTTGCAAAGATTTTCTCCCAGGCTGTGACTTTTTATTTTCTTGGCAGTATCTTTCACAGAGCAGAAATTTTTAATTGTAATGAAATCTAGCTTATCACCTCTTTTTTTCTAAAAAGTCATCACCACATCCAAGGTCATCTAGCTTTTCTCTTATGTTATCTTTTAGGAGTTTTATAGTTTTGCCTTTTACATTTAGATCTGTAATCCATTTTGAGTTAATTTGTGTAGAGGGTGTACAAGTCTGTGCTTAAGTTCATTTTTTTTTTTTTTTTTGCATGGGGATCTAGCTGTTCCAGCACCATTTGTTGAAAAGACTATCTTTGCTTTACTGTGTTGCCTTTACTCCTTTGTTAAAACCAGTTTACTTTAATTTTGTGGGCCTATTTCTGAGTTCTCTATTCTCTTCCACTAATCTATTTGTCTGTTTTTTCACAAACACCACATTGTCTTGATTACCATATATCTATAGTTAACTCTTGAAGTTGGGTAGTGTCAGCCCTCCAACTCTGTTCTTCTCCTTTAATATTGAGTTGGCTACACTGAATCTGTTGCCTCTCCATATAAATTATAGAATTTGTGCGTCAATATTCACAAAATAGCTTGCTTGGATTTTAATTTGGATTTCACTGCATCTCCAAGTCAGGTTGTGAAGAACTGGCATCTTGACAATATTGAGTCTATCTATCCATGAACATGGAATATCTTTCCATTTATTTAGTTGATTTTTTTTCAAAGTTTTGTAGTTTTCCTCATATAGATCTTGTCCACAGTTTGTTAGATTTATACTTAAGTATTTCTTTTGGGGGGATGCTAACAGTATTATGTTTTTAATTTCACATTCCACTTGTTCATTGCTAGCATTTAGGAAAACAGTCTTTTGTATATTAACCATTTATCCTGCAATCTTGCTATAATCACTTATTAGTTCCAGGAGGGTTCTGTTTTATTTTGGTTTGTCAATTCTTTCAGATTTTCTAAATAATCAACTCCTGTGTAAACAAAGACAATTCTATTTCTTCCTTCCCAATCTATAACTTTTATTTCCTTCCTTGTCATATTGCATGAGCTAGAACTTCTAGTATGATGTTGAAAAGCAGTCAAGAGGACATCCTTGCCTGGTTCTTGTTCTAATCAGGAAAACTTTCAGTTTCTCATTACTAAGTACAAAGTATGACGTTTGATATAGGCTTTTAGTAGATGTTCTTCTCTATCACTAGATTGCTCAGCATTTTTATCATGAATGGGTGTTGGACTTTAATGCTTTTTCTGAACCTGTTATACGTCATGTGATTTTTCTTCTTTAGCCACTGATGTAATGGATTACATTAATTAATTTTTGAATCTTGAATCAGCCTTGCATAGTTGGAATAAATCCCATTTGGTCATGGCATATAATTAATTTTACACATTGTTGGATTTTACTTGTTATTTTGTTGAGGACTTTTACATCTGTATTTATAAGAACTATTGGTCTGTAGATTTCTTACAATGTCTTGTCTGGCTTTGATATTAGGGTAATGCTGGCCTCAGAGAATGAGTTAGCCTTCAATTTTCTGGAAAAGACTGTAGCGAATTGAAATAATTTTTTCCTTAAATTATTGTTAGATGCTATGGTTTGAGAATGTCCTCCAAAACTCCCGTGATGGAAACTTAATCTCCAGTGCAACAATGTTGAGAGGTGTAATCTCCAAGAGCTGATTTGGTCATGATGGCTCTGTCCTCATAAATGGATTAATGTAATCAGGGCAGGAGTAGGTTCTTGATAAAAGGTGAGTTCAGCTCCCTTCTTCTTTCTCTCTCATAATCTCTTCCCTTTCTACTTTTTGACATAGGATGACATGGCATGAAGGCCCTCAACAGATGGCAGCACCTTTAATAATGAACTTCCCAGCATCCAGAACTATGAGAAATCAATTTATTTTCTTATAAACTACACAATCTGTGGTATTGTTATGGCAGCACAAAATCAGACTAGGACAGAAGAATTCTCCAATGAACCCATTCAGGACTGGTGCTTTCTGTTTTGAAAAGTTCATATTTCTTTATTTTTGTATAAATAATACCATTTTCAAGTTATAATGATCATTATAATGCCATATCCACTAGAAAATTTAAAAACACTGCCATACTGAGGTTTTTAAAGAAAACAACATGACTAGCATTTCCTAGTAAAAATGTAAAAACTTGAATTTCATTACTTCATTTGTCTGCAATGGGAACTAAAATGAACAAGACAAAAAGATTCACACCTAGGTTTTACTGTCTCTAAATTCAAGCTCTTTCTATTTTAAGATGCCTCCAATAAAAATTCACAGGTAGTAATCTACCCTGCCCCTCCCTCTCAGCACAAATTCACCTTTATGAGTATTTGTAATGCTGATTTGAATGCACACACTCAAACACACGCATACACACACATCTTTGAATCCATCCACCCACTTCTCTTCAGTGCCACTACCCTAATCCAAGCCACTATTATCCTTTACCTAAACTACTGCCATAGCTTCCTAACTAAATTGCAGACATTGACATTTGGAAGGCCCCCACAGAAAAGGCTGGTTCACCAAGACATGATAAAACTTTGAAACCAAGATCAACAAGTACACACATACACACACACACACACACACACACACACACACACCCCCCACAGATAAAGGATTTAAATGGGCATGGAAGGAACACCCAAATTTAAAGAAAACTTCCAACATGAAAGAAAAACAAAACAAAAATACTAGGGAGAGAGTTAATGCAAGGAATAGAAAAAAAAAAAAAAAAACTCAGAAATCTACAGTTGGCTCTAGTTTCAGCATGGCAGTAACCCCCTACAGTCCAACCTTCCCAACGGAGAGCAACTATGAACTTAGGACAAAAATACAAAAAGAATTTAAAAAAATAAAAAAACACAACTACCTGGGCATTCTGAATATTAAAAAAGACAGGCAGGGATGTAGCAGGAAGCTGAAACTTGTAAAAGTAACCTGCACCAGGTAAGTTTCCTTTTCTTTTTGCAGCTTTATTCTAAGGTAAAGCCACAGTAATGGAGAGGAACAGAGGCATAGGATGCTAAAACTCCACTAGAAACCCTATTCTAGCCAGAGGAAGCATGGAATGGAGCCCATGCAAACTAGAAAGTAAGGGGAAACCATTAACCCTTAAGCCATGCACATGTAGGACTGATCCAAAACCGATACCAGTAAAGGCCTAAGGACCTGAGCCAAGATTTGAATCACTGCACACAGCATAAGAGACCCAGCTTACAATCTGAATCTATGGGAGTTGATTGCCTGCTAAAACAAAACAACCAACATTCTCCAAAGGACCACAGCAAAATATTCAGAAGATCCAGAATAAAATCAAAAATTACTAGAATACTCAAAATATAAATCATTCTCTGGGGGAAAGGCAATCAGTAGATGCCAATCACAAGATGATTCAGGTTATAGTTAACATATAAGGATTATAAAGCAACTATTACAACTACGTTTCAGGAAACAAAGCGAAATTACCTTAAAATCAATTAAAAGACAGGGAATCTCAGCAGATAAATAGAAAATGTAAAAAATAAACGAAATAAATGTTTTAATATGGAAAAATAATAAATATGAAATAAAAATTCACTAATGGGATCAATGGCACAATTAAGAGGAAAGAAATGGTAAAATTATACAATTTACCCATTATAAAAAGCAGAAAAGAAAAAAGATCAAATAAAATTGTAATACAACAGAGCCACAGTGAGTTTAAACCCTTTAAAAGTTTTTTTTATGTGGAATTTGGAGCTCAAAGGACATGAGAGAGATTAGGGCAGGAAAAACATTTGAAGAAATAATGGCCATAATTCCTCACATTAGTAAAAGAAGTCAATTTACAAATTCAACTTTAGTAAGCCCAAACGGAACAAATTTAAAGAAAATTACACCTAGACTTATCATTACACAACTTCAAAAAATCAAAGATAAACAGAAGTTACTAGATGCAGCCTGTGAAAACCAATATATATAGAGAAACTGTGATGCAAATAATTACAGCTTTCTCATCAGAAACCATGGTGGTCAGGAGGAAATGAAAGAATGTCTTTATAGACCTAACAGACAAATACTCAGCCAAGAGTTCTATACCCTAAGATATATATCTAGACACTTAAGGAATTGAGGCAAAATAAAGACATTTTCAGATTAAGGAAACTTCAGAGAATTGACTAGCAGCTGATCTGCACTTTAAGAAATGCAGTTCTTAAGGAAGTTCTTCACATTAAAAAGAAATTAATAATACAGGGAAACGTGTCTTCAAGAATGAATACAGGATACAGAGAATGGTAAATATCTAAGGAAATATAAAAGATTAATTTTTTCTCTTATGTTTTTTAAAATGTTATGATTTAAGACAAAAATTATAACATTATCTGGTGGGATTCCCAACATAATACATATGACAACTATCACACTGAAATTAGAAGGGGCTGGAGAGTAAATGGACCTTTGTGGTTAGGAAGTTCTACATTTTTTATGAAGTGATACAATATTAATGTTAAATATACATGCCTAACCTTCACACTTTCTTGTAATCTAAGAGCAAACATGGAAAGCTAAAAGGCAACAGAAATATTGAAAGGGACACTAAAACTTTTTTCATAAATCAAATGATCCAAAAGAAGATAGAAAAGGGTAAAAAGAACAAAAAGCAGAAAAGACAAATAAAAAACAATATAACAGTAGACGTAAACCAACCATATCAACAATTACATTAAATGCAAACACTCCAATGAGAAGGCAGAGGCTGTTAAAAGTAAGACCTAACTATAAGGTACCAACAAAAGACACATTTAAAGGACCTAGATAGGTTGAAAGTAAACAGAAAAAGATACACCACACAAAAATATTTAGGTTGTTGCAAAAGTAATTGTGGTTTTTGCCATCTGAAAGTATTTTAAAGTAATGGCAAAAACTGCAATTATTTTTGCACCAACCTAAATATAAAATAAGAAGGCTTTATTAATATCATGTAAAATAGACTTGAAGACAAAGATCACTATCAGAGATAAAGTGGGACATTTCATAAGAGAGCAGAATTTAGAAAACAAGAAACAGATCATTAAAGGATCATTAAATCATTGCAGATTTTAATAACTCTTCTTCAGCAATTAGTAGAACACAAAAACAAAATCAATACAGACACAGAAGATCAGAACAATATTATGAACCTGATCTGACATTTTTAGAACACTATATGCAACAACTGAAGAATATACATTATTTTCAAGTGCACACAGTATATTATCAAGTTGGATATATTAGCCCATAAAAAAGTCTCAAGAAATTTAAAGTGAATAAAATCAAATTAGAAAATAAGATTTCTAGAAAAGTATCAAATAAGTAGAAATTAGACACACAAAAAAGTAAACCATAACAGAAAGAGAAAAACAGTAAATAAATAAGGTAAAAACAGAAATCAGTAACACAGAACAACAGAAATTTAACAAAGCCAAAAGATGATTCTTTAAAAAGATGAATAAAATTGACAGAAAATCACAACTAGACTATTTAAGGAAAAAAGAATTTAGAAAATCTCCAATATTGGGAATTAAAAAGAGGTTATTATCACTACAGGTATTACAGACATTAAAATGAGCTTTATGTCAGCAAACTCAATGTCTTAAAAAATGTTTAACCTCCCAAGTATCCTTTCTTAGGAACCTACTGGAAAACATCTTCCACCAAAATGAAAGAGTAAACAAAACAACAAAAGACTTAGAGTGCGACAAACAGGAAATATAACACATCTACAGGGAAAAGTCTCAGTATGATAGCTGTGCATCAGGCTTAGAGAGCAAACAGTACTGATGAAATAGGAGAATAGAAGGCTCTAGGAAGAATGTCTTCAAAGAAAAAAGGAACTAATCCAATGCCTTTGACCATGCAAAAATTAACATGAAAAGTAAGTTTTGGAAAGTCACCAGAGGATATGCAAAAAATTAACAATAAATATATAACTAAAGAAATAAAAATTAAGCAACTCCATGAAATATTTTTAAAGTTATACAAAATATACTGCTTAACTCAGTGATGAGTTAGTATTTTCAGTCATAAAATGTAAATACTTGTCACTGATTTAACCAAAAATTAGATGGTTTTCATACATTTAATGCTCACAGTAATTCTGAGATAGAATTCTGTACTGTCTTTACTTTACAGATGAGGGATGAGGAAACTACAACATAGAATAGTTGGCCCAAGATCACAACGTTTTTGAGAAGTCAAGATTTGAACCCAAGAGGCAGGACTACAAAGATCATGATTTGGGTAGGGAAAGCAAGGACATGTAAGAAAGCAAAGTAAAATTAATAAAAATAAATTAGTGGCTGAAACTGCATATGTTAAAAATACACAGTAAAATAAAGCAGCTGAAATAGTTAAAAGGTTTTTTGGGTTCTTCCCCACCAAGGAGAAAAACTTACAAGATAAAGGGTGAAAAGGAGATTGCTGTTTTTAATTATTCGTCTTTTGGTGCTCGGAATTTTAAAAGTGGACATGTACTATTTGATTTTTTTTAATATGATGGTTAAAGAAAACACCTACAAGCTAAATCCAGCCCAATGAAAGATTACCGAGGTGTGAGTGCTACACAATTGGCTGGGTTCATTGTAGCTAGATGATACCAGACTTTTTAAGCTATACCATTCATGCTCTCTATGTCTGGCATTGCCATAAATAAAAGAAACTTAGCTATCATAAAGGTTTTATTTCCCAGGATCCTTGATGTATTTTAACTCTGTTGCTACGTTTACGGTAATAAAATCTGTCCTCTAAGCTTTCCTGCATAACCTTGAACAGAACCTCCCTCGGATAGTCTTCTGTAAAATGAGAAGATTGAAGAAAATGATCATTAAGGACTCCCCTATTTCCACAATATCTGGAAACAATTTCCTTTTCTCTTTTCCATGGGTAGACCAAATAACCTAACCATGGTTACTATCTTGCAAATGCAAGCCACTGGTTACAAGAGGAATTATTCAAAAATACCAGAACTCATCTAAACTGATTCATCAGCACTATTATAAAAGCAAAGGATATACCCTAATTATGAACATCAAGAATATCAACAGTGCATAGGCTGTGCAAAACATTATTACTTTTATAGCACAGAATTCTGTAAAACTACATATCACTTTATAAACATAATAAAATATACCAGTATCGCCATGCACACACTTGGAATCATTCAGAAAAGACATTCATTTATTTCTTTAATAAGTATTTATTTTGCACCTATAACAGGACCAGAACAATGACATAAACTATTATAAACAAGACAGATCTAAGCCCTGCTTCCCACTGAGTTTACAATCTAGTGGGGAAATACACACCATGAAATAAGGGCTATAACAAGGATAAGTGCACACAGTTAAAAGAACACGCAGAACTTGAAAGTAAAGAGCAGGAAATGGAGATGGGGAGGTAAAAGGGAAGGAAAGGTTTTTTGAAGAAAATAACATCTAAATATAGATCTGAATACACAATTGAAATTAGTCCTGGAAGAAGGAGGGAGAAAAGAAAAAATGGGAAAGATATATTTAAAAGCTACAAAGCAAGAGATAGCATGATTTGGGGTGGTGATAGAGAAACAAAAGCATTATAGTTTAAAACATGGCCAAAGTATGCAATGCAGTAACAACGTAGGCAGGGATGAGGTATGCAGGTGCTCCTGTTGTTCTCTAAAGGTTAAAAACAAATACTTAAAAGGGCCTTAAGTGTGGCCAGGAACAGTGGCTCATGTCAGTAATCCCAGCACTTTGGGAAGCCAAGGCAGAAAAATGATTTGAGAACAGACTGGGCAACATAGTAAGACTCTATCTCTAAAAAAGAAAAAATTCAGCCAAGCGTGGTGATGCATGCCTGTAGTCTCAACTACTTGGGAGGCTGAGGGGGAAGACCGCTTGAACTCAGAAGGTTAGGGCTGCAGTGCTGTGATCCACCAGACTGCACTCCAGCCTGGGTGACACAGCGAGACTCTGCCTCAAAAAAAACAAAACTCTCAAGTGTTATTTCAAGACTCTTCCCTTTTGACAGAAATCACACAAAAAGTCATCTGATATAGATGAAAGCTCTCCCGAGGTGAGGAGAACAAATGTTCTACAAAAGCTGTCACTTTGAACACTTATAAAGAAAGGAAAAAAAAAAAAAAAAAGGTGTCACTACTGGATTTCCTCAGTCCAATATCCAAAAGGCTATATGTCCTAAGACCCCCAAAATTAGTAAAGGGGTTAATACCATCACATTAGAAGATTCTTTTACAAAATGAAATCCAGTTCACTCCCTTATTCTCAAAACCTCTGTCCAAATAGCACAATTTCTTTACATAATGTTATGAGTAATTCTGGAGAAACATCATAGATGAACTAAACCACAGCACATTCCTGAACTTTTAAAATATTAAACTGTACATGTTCAAACAAATCTTAAAAGCAAGCAAGTCAAAACCCTGAAATAATCTGACAGTAAATCTTAGACTACTGCAGCATTTCCCAACTTGCATTTGGCACGTCTTTAACAAGAATTTTACCCACACCCTAATTCCAGCTAAGTGATCAAACATCTGAAAGAAACCATAACAACATGGCCCGAAAACAGAGACATACGATGATTTACAATTGCATAGCCTTAATTACAGTGATCTTGTCAGTAAATTTACATTGACTAAACGTCAGTAGAAGATTCCATACCATTCCACAGTTAATTAAACTCAAGTCAGGCCTACATATATAGAATACATACAAAATCCTAAAATAACATATTGCGAATACACATACAATTGAGCAATGTTTTAGAATGAAGGTCAGATATTAAGAAAATAGTAAGAAGAAAATAGTTGCCAAGTAATCAATATAAAAAAGATAAGGAAAATCAAACCAGTATTCACAACTCCGCAGTTTATGAAGGTGATAAGCAGGGCCACTGCATATGGCTTCATGGGCTACTTATTGAACAACTCTAAAGGACACCATTCAGAGAGAGAGACAGAGGAAGACTAAGCAATATATTTCAAGCTGGAAGAGAATGCAAAGAAACAACCACCACCATCACCCCCACCTTAAAGAGCCCAGGTCTCAGTAGCAGAAACAGAATAAATATAAAAAGGAATAAAATAACATAGGCAAGGTTTTATGTCTATAAAATTGGCCTTGAACTAGCACCATTCATTCATCTTTATCAAATACTGAAAGTCTACCATATGGCAGGTATGGAAAGATATATACAGTAGTGAGCAAAACAGACAAAAATCTCTCTACCACCATGAGGCTTAAATTCAGGGAGAAAGAAGGGAGGTAGGAAATAAATAAGCAAAATATTTGGAATACCAGAAGATGATAAGTACTCTGGATAAAAACAAACAGGAAACAGCGATAAGGAGTACTGTGAATGGGATATAGTGATTTAAAATAAGGTAGTCAAGAATGACCTCAATGAGGCAATCACACTAACAGAATGAAGATTCTACCATATTTGAATAAGCTGTTTTTGACACTCTCACAGGGAGTATTATATTCTCTTCTACTATCCACTCATATCCATCCCAATTCTAGGACAGACTAGGTGCTTGGCTGATTATCAGGTGCAAGTAAGGGATGCAAAACAACCTCACCACATTGTTAGGAATTTATTTAGAGACTGGGTGAAATAAAAAATTAATTTCTTAGAAGCGTCCTTCAACATGCCAAGCTTCAGGCCTATATGAGGTACATTCCTATAACATCTACATTGGGGTGGGCAAACTAGAGCAAGCAGGCCAAATCCAGCACACTGTTTTTGCAAATAGTCTTCTGGAACACAGCCCATTTGTTCATTTTCATATTTGGTATGGATACTGCTGCACTACAATGGCAGATCTGAGTAGCTGTGACAGAGACCACATGGCCTATAAAGCCTAAAATACTATCTAGCCCTTTACAGAAAGGGTTTACTAATCTACTAACCCCTGGTCTACATCACCACCACCACCACCCCAAGTAACATAGGCTTCAGGGTCATCTTCACGAGCATGTGATCACTCTAGTCACATGAGACCACCACTCAGGAGGAATCCATGATTGGGGTTTAATACCCTGTGATCACTGTCTTAAAATTCTTAATAATTTTATCTCTAAATATCAGTTTTATAAGTAAACTCCAATAGGACTCCAATGGAGCATGTGCCAGGGGCCTGACACCTCAGCTCACCAGTGGTCTGCCTCTCCAGGAAGTGTTCTCACTCAGTTGAACCCTGTGGCTCAGTCTGACCTCCTAATCCTCACCCTACAACTAGGGAAAGGCAAGGTGACAGCCATCCCCATCCTAGGCTAGAATCACCCTGGCACATTCAGAGGGTGGCCTCTTGCCTATCACTGATGTAGGTAATGAGCATGTCCTGACATGGAGACTACATATTTGCTTGGGGGTCCACAGACCTATACAAAAACAAGGTCTACAGAAAGGGGAGATTGACTTCCTCATCACAGGCCAGGGCCCCACATTTTCATTCGGCATTAGACCTTGCAAATCATGTAGGTGGACCTAACTGCTTTCATGAAACAATTATAAACTAGAGTTATAAATGACAGTTCCATTCTTCTATGAAATCCAGCATAAAATTTGTTTCTGTTTTGTCCCATTCCACTCTAGGCCATCCCCTTAACTTTGCTGCAGCCATACAGCTTTCCTCCTATATCTTCAATCAACAAACTCATTTCCACTACAGGTTATTAACACATTTACAATACTCATCAACTAGAACTAGATCTTCACATTTCAATCAAGTCTGCGTGACTGTCACAACTTAAGAGTGGATGGAGTTACCTGACTAAGCTGATCCCTATCTACTAAGGGGTCAAATTGACTGGTGTGGCACATCATCTCCAAAGATGGCCACTATCACATTCTCCCCTCCATGTATGTGCAAGTTTCTCCCCCACTGACAGATGGAATTCATTTCTTCTCCCTTTGAATTTGGGGGGTCTTACAACTGCTCTGACCAATAGGATACTGCAAAAATGACATTATGAATTTCCAAGCCCAGGCCTTAAGAATGGCAGCTTCCTCTTCCTTCTATGCTGTGGGAAGCCAAGGTCACATCAAGAGGGCACACAAAGGAGAACTGAGATGCTGAAGTCAATAGTTCCAGCTGAGCTTCCAGAAAATAGACAACATCAACTGCAGCCAAGTGAGTGAGCCATCTTGGAAATTCCAACCCAACCAAGCCCCAAAATGGCTCCAGTCCTAGCTAACACTATGTGGAGTAGAATCAACAATCTCCTGATCACACTCAACCCATGGAATCTTAAAAGAAAATAAATACTTGTATTTAGAGATGTTTGTTACACAGCAATATAAAACTAAAACACCCAAGTCTGAATACCAGCTCCATCACAGCTGGGCCTATTATTTAACTTGTTTGTGTCTCATGTTTCTCACCTGCAAATTGAGGATAATGACATTATCTACTTCATAGAAGTGGAAGGATTAAGCGTGCTAATATGTACAAAGCATTTAGCAGCATTTTATTAATACAATGTAAGTACTGTTCTATTATTGCTATTTCATAATTGATAGAATTTATTATTTATTCCATCAACTTGCTTTATTTTCTTCAAAGAATTTATTACTATCTGACATTAGGCTTACTTATCTATCTGCACTTCTCCACCAAAGCATGAGCCATGAGACAAAAACTTAACTGTCTTATTAACCAACACCTAAAACAGAAGCAGACAGAAGTACTATAATATATAGCTATTATATATCAGATGAATGAGTTATAGGATATTTGTTTCATAATCAATAATGATATCTAAAAACTGCTCCCTTACCTTTAGCATAAATCTGACAAAGGGCACTCAAAAACATAAGCTATAAATTATAATATGGTATTTTCATGATACAATTCCAATACATTTATTTGCCACTACACATATAGTACTCCAGTATTAGATCATGTACTGCTCAAATGTGCCTAAGCAAAGGCTACCATTTGATTCAGCACTGTTCAGGTGTGTACTCATTTGTATAATTTTTTTTTAATGAGCTAAACTCAACCAAATAACGTATTTACAGTTAATATCAAGACATGCACAAAAATAGCAAGAGAAATTTTAATCTGGGGTATGTTTAAAAGCAATTTACCCTGGCAACCCAAATTGACATAATACTGGTCTTCAAGTTATAAGCAACAACTTGGTATATAACACATTTGAGTATTGGTATACAACTTGGTGTACTACTTAGTATACAACATATTTGAGTGTACATTTCCTCAATTAGTTTTTTCAACATACAAAGATCTATTTTAAAGATGAAATAAAAATCAGACATTGACAGAACCCTAACACACCTTTGAGAAAAAGCAGTAGTCTAGAAGGTTAGAAAGACACACAAACACATAATTCAGTATAACAAGTTATCCTAACTTTCTTCTGCCTTGATGCTGATGACAGAGGTCAGAAACTCTCTCTACCTCCTTCTTTCAATTATAGATTCGAAGGAGTTTTTACATTTAAGAACAGGATTTTATGAGGCAAACAAACTAGAGAGAGTACAGAACTTCAGATGAGAAATCAGTGCATAAAAATTAAGAAGACAGAGATATGTCACTGTACAGGTAGGGAGGGCCCATTCAAAAAAACTTGTATGCTAAGAACAGGAATTTTAAACTTCAAAAATTTAATAAACCCAGAATGGTTAAAATTAAAAAGATTGACAGCAGCAGAATGTTTGCAAGTGTGTGGAGCAACCAAAACTTCATACATTGATGGTGGAAGTGTAAAATGGCATAATGACTTTGGAAAAAAGTCTGGTGGTTTCTTATAAAATTGAAACATACACCTACCCTATTACTCAGTAATTCCACCCATGGAAAATAAAAACATATGTCCACAAAAAGATTTGTACAAGAATATTCATTCCTATCAGCTTTACAGAAAGATTTGTACAAGAATATAACAGCTTTACTCATAACAGCAAAAGAAAACTAAAAACCCAAATATCAACAGCAATGGATAAACTGCAGTGTATTCATTCGATTTATACGATGAAAACTATATGATAAAAAGGGATGAGCTACTGATATACACAAAAACATGGATCAATCTAAAAAACTTCATGCTGAATGAAAGAAGCTTTGTAGACTACATGCTGTATGATTCTAGAATAGGCAAAACTAGGTAATTTGAAGTGAAAAAATCAGAACAGTCACCTGGGGGGTATGAATTGATCTAGTAAGGATAATAAGGGAACTTTCTAGGGTGATGGTAATATTCTGTATCAGGTCATTAAATTTATCTGTAAAGGGCAGTGGTACAAACTGAATGTTTGTGTCTCTCCAAAATGTATATGTTGAAACCCTAATCGCCAGAGTGATGTTATTTGAAGTTAGAGCCTATAGGAGGTAATTAGGTTTAGATGACGTCATGAGGGTGGGGTCCCTATGATGGATGAGTGTCTGTGCTAACATCAGAGAGCGTACTTACACAAATCTAGATGGTATATATAGCCTACTACATACTATGCCGTATGGTCTAGCCTATTGCTCCTAGACTACAAACCTGTACAGCACGTTATTGTATTGAATACTGCAGGCAACTGTAAAACAACAGTATTTATCTAAACACATCTTACAGGACCCCAGTATATAAGGTCCCTCATTGAATGAAAAGACATTATGCAGTACATGAATGTCCTCAACCCTACCACCGTAAATGAATGGGCATGGCTGTGTGCCAATAAAATTTATTTACAAAACCAGGAGTTGGACCACAGTTTGCTGATCTCTGCTCTACATGTCAAAGGTGGTTTGGGTTACATGAGTATCTGAATTTGCCAAAGTTCATCCACTAGGCCATGTAAGATTTGTGCATTTTAATATACATTGATTTTACCTCAAAGAAAAAGAACCATAAACAAATATTAAAATGTAGGCTAATGATAAACATGTGGCTTGCATGCAAGTACACTGATCCCTGCAACTTACTTTGAAAGGATCGAAAAATAGATGGATTGATAAATACACAACAATACAAATAGAATAAACTGTTAACTGTAGAGCCCACAATTTGTATGGAGGTTAACTGTACAATTCTTTCAACTTTTTTAAAAATTTGGAAGTTTTAATATTAAATGTTATTAAATGTTGGGGGCAGATTCAGTAAGGGGCCACTGAAGGTTTTTGAGCAAAAGAACAAAAAATTTATACAGGTTGAGTATCCCTTATTTAAAATGCTTGGGACCAGAAGTGTTTTGGATTTCAGATTTTTTTTGGATTTTGGAATATTGCATATACGTAATGAAATATCTTGGGAATGGGACCCAAAGATGAACGTGACTATATGTGCATGAAACAAAGTTGTGTTGAATACGTACATGTGGTATTTTCCACTTGTGATATCATGTGGTGTTCAAAAAGTTTCAGATTTGGGGGCATTTTAGATTTCGGGTTTTTGGATTAGGAATACTCAACCTATATTCTACAAATATGATTCACACGATGCAAACAATTCCTGAAGGATGGTCAAATGAGGAAGAAAGTAACAGACAATATTCCATGCCAGGTAATGCATCAATATTTAAGGAGAATGGATTAAGTACAAAAAGAGTTCACTAAGACAAGAAAAGTCAGAAAAAGTCAAGAGAAGTAGAAAGCTTCTTATTAACTGTATCAGGAATAAGGACGGAGTTTCAAAGAACATTCATACTGTCAGTATAACAGAGAAATCAAGCAACATGAGAACTGAAAAGTAGCTATCAGACTATGCAGTTGGGTAACCTTGATTATGTAAAAGAGGTGTGGTAAGAATATAAGCCAGATAAAGTATACTGATAAATTCAAAAGAAACAAACAAGAGACGATCAAAGGAATAAGGCTGGCAAGAAAAGGTGACAACTAGAGAGTAAGGAAAGGTAAGAGCCTGCAACACTTCTTTCCAGTGGAAAATGAAATGAGTATAACTAAAACTCATTATACATTATCTCATCCAGAACATGTACTATTCAGTAAGGCAGTCAGCCATGGGCCTGAATGTCCCTGCACATTCTTGCTGAGTGTGTGTAAAGCTTTCCATTTCCTCATACTGAGCTGTTTCTTCTAATAAGTTACACAGGGAACAAAGATCAGGCAACCACAGTGTGTAACTGCCATCCCAGGAGAAGGTGAACTAGTTTGTTTGTTGTTTGCTAAGATATTTGCTGCTTGCTTTAAAAAAAAAAGAGCTGCACCCTTGGTTCTGAGTTTCTGAGTTCCTCAGCTGTGATGCAAACCCACTGCACGAATCCATATGGACACCCAGCCCCTCTGTGGAATTTGGTAGCTAGGAAAACCTACACAAATATGCTGATGTTCGTGCTGCTTGCTATGTCATGAGTAATGATCAGTCTTTAACCTGGAGGTCACCTCTTTTTTGCCAGAAACCGTGAAACATTAACACACTAACTTATTAGCTTGTAAAAAGGGTACTTATTTATCATGTACCAGTCTTTACATGTTTTACACATGTATTATATTATTTCTCACAATAATCTTTGTCAGGTAGATACTAATATAAGGAAACTGAGGCTTCAAGATGTAAAGTAACTAAGCAAGGTCTCACAAATTGCAAACAGCACAATCTAATATATAAGCCCAGATGGCTTTAAAACCTGTAGGTTTTTTACCCGTTAATAGTCAGGCCTCCTTCAAGCCTCCTTCTCAGCTAATTTATCGAGGGCAACTCTAATTCCCCAGATACAAGAGCAAAGTACTCAGATCTTTGTAGAATGAATACTTCAAATTATGTTCCATAGAAAATTGATATTGTAGAAATGTTAACATAATCTTAAAATTTTAAAAACAAAGAACAAAACAAAACAAAGATTAGGAAGAGCTAGGTTAAAGAAATCCAAATCACTGTCTTTACTGCAGAATTTTTCATGGTTTTAATATGCTAATGTATTATAAATCTTCCAGTTACACTTACTATCATTCTGAAATACAGTTTGGGAAATTACTGCTACAATCAACACTGCCAATTTAACTTGTACACAGAATAAGAAGTCAGCTTGGTACAGGTACAATCTTAGAAGTCAGCTTGGTACAGGTACATAATCCTTTAAAATAGAGAACTTTGGCCGGGCTCTGTGGCTCACACCTGTAATCCCAGCACTTTGAGAGGCCAAGGCGGGCAGATTATTTGAGGTCAGGAGTTCGAGACCAGCCTGGCCAACATGCTGAAACCCCATCTCTACTAAAATACAAAAATTAGCCAGGTGTGGTGCACCACACTTGTAGTCCCAGTGACTCAGGAGGCTGAGGCAGGAAAATCACTTGAACCCAGGAGGCGGATGTTGCAGTGAGCCGAGATCACGCCACTGCACTCCAGCCTGAGTGACAGACACTCCATCTCAAAAAATAAAAATAAATAAATAAATAAATAATAAAATAACGAACATCAAAGTTAGAATGTGGTCTAGCAGCTGCAAGCCAAGTCAACTTCGTCATAGTTAGCAACACTGCTCATTTACTAACAAACAAAACTGAATTTCCCATAAAATTACGTGTCATACCTGGCTTTTTCTGAAATTAGAAGGGTAACAATCAAGAATTTTTGTAGCTCTAAACTGTTATCCACTGCTTTACTCAATAAATTTTGGATGCTTTTAACAATGAAAGGAAAGAAGAGATCACAGAAAAAGCAGTTTCTAGATAAAGCTTGTGCATTGGCTAATGGTAGTAAGTCCTTCTGATGACCCTGAGCATCACTGCTAGCTTTCCAGTATGAAAAGCTGTTTTTAAACTCTTTAAGTAAGTGAAAAATTAACATTGCATACCATCTCACCCCTAAGTATACTTGCCTATCTCCTGACTTAGTCATCCCTTAACATTCAACAACTCAAGTGGTTTATTGCTCCAGTTTATTAAGCATTCCAGTTTTCCCAAAAACTGAGCTAAAGGCAACCACAAAATAGTTGTGTTCATCATATAAGCCAGAGCTGAAGACTGATCCCTAGTTTAAAAAGTCTATTGAAAATGTCAATTCAGCTTTTTCTCTGGCATACACTGATGTTATTAATCAGGCCATTATAAACAAAACCAAGAGTTATACTAGATAGGTTAAATGACTACGTAAATTGTGTAACTCTAACACTAACATTGCCTTACAATGTTAGTTGTAAGTTGCCTTACAAGGAGAACAGATCGATGTCCTACCTAAAGTACTACCTTTAGAGGGACTGGTAGGCTTTATCTTTAGAAGAACTGATTTTTGCCCTCTGTTCTCAAGGAACATTCAAAGTCTATGTAGGACACATCGTCAGTTTGAAAAAAACGAGGGGAGGGGGCAGCAATAAAATATGCCCATTTATTTTGAAAGGAGTTGTTGGGAAAACAAATATCTTAAAACTGAGAGCTACATAAATTAACAGTGTTTTGGGTAGTGACGTCTGTAGGAAAAATGAAACAAGTTTCACTGCTGATATTATTCAATATTTATATCATTTTATTTTTGCTAACATTTACAAACCTAGAAATGCCTTTCAAACCATCAAAAGGGTGTACACTGACAACTTGAAAAACGCTTTCCATACTGGGAGAAACAGTATTTCCCAAGTTGTTGAGAAAAGCTGATAAATTTTCAAAGAATTCGGAATATGGACCTTTTGTAGGTTTTAAGGAATGCAAACCAATTGAAAATGGAAGCCTCATGAGCTTTTATCTTAGAAAAATGCAAAATTACATACTTTAGGATCTCATCTTACAGTTCCTTCATATTTGCCAAAATGTACTTATTAATAGAAAGTCTTGGCTTATAACCTGTCTTACATGTGCAAATAGATTTGAAAGTTGAAACCTGGGACTAACATACCTAAATTTGTAAAATTTTATAAACCATAAACTGCATCACCAGTGCTATGTATTGTTTTTCTCCTCTCCCTCAGTAAATGGGCTGAAAGTTTGTAGAATGACATGCTACCTAGCTGCAACAGCACAACAGCAGAGTCAACTATTGCTCAGTCCATCTTTAACTAAGGTTTACAACAGGAATCTCCAACGTCACCACCAGAATACACAAAGAAAAATATATTTAAAAATTGACACTGAAAATATAGAGGAACACATTTCACTTTTTTCAACATAGTTACCAAAGTTTACACAGTTAAGCTGGAAAACCTTGTATTTAACGAAAAATAATTTTTCAAACAAGATTAGAATTTGTTCTACTAAAACTACCTCTGTTTCCCCTCTAACCAAAAAAAAAAAAAAAAAAAAAAAAAAGAAAGAAAGAAAGAAAGAAAAAGTGGGGATTACCAAAAAATACAGTCATTTTTAATACTAACATAATGGAAAAGGACAAAATGACAAGGTTAACGAGCAGAGAGACAAGATCAGCATTATGGCTAGTCTTTCTCTACAGTTCCACAATTCCTAACCCACATTTTTGCCAAATCCACATCCCACCCCACGCAGTACTTACACCTCCACCCACCTACTCACCCACCCCATTTATGACGGCGATCACCTTCCGGGCAGGTATGTGAAGTCAGCCCCATTTCCAGTAGACAATCGACTAGAATGTCTCAGGAGTGACTGAGTCAGAGAATAAGAAAATGATAAAGTGAGAAATTAAAACGGATACAAGTTGTAAGGTGTGTGGAGGGAGGGCGTCTCACAGCGGGGCTAAGGGTGCGGGTGAGGAGCTAAGCAGACTTGGGGCGAGAGAGAAGGGTTTCGAAGGAGTCCTAGGCAGGAGTGCGCAGGTGAGGCGAGTGAAGCAGCTCCAGCCAGAAGATCCAAAAAAACAAAACAAAACACAACAAAAAAAAGCCACAGCTTTTCCTCCGGGAATAACCTGAGGAAAGGGACTCTCGGGACGCCGCGGCGGGAGGCAGTCCCGGGAGGCACAGGAGGCCGGGAACTCACCACCTGGTAGCGCCCAGTCCCCGGCTGGTGGTGATCCATCCTGCCCGGCTCGGGATCCGGCTTCCGAGAGAGGGAGTCTTCTCCGTGCTCAGCTCCCACGGCCACCCCCGTCGACGACGTCGTCGCCGCAGGGCCCCTTCCGCCTCCGTTCCTGCAGCCGCGGTCTCCCGGCGGAAGCTCTTCACTTCCTGTGGCTCCCGCAGCGGCCGCCGAGACCTCCGCGTTGGTCGCGGTTCCGCGGAGAAGCTCCGGGGCGCCGCGCGCGCTATTGAGCATGCTCGGACCGCTCGCGCAGACTCGCTGGCTCCGCCGGCGTGCCATCCGCGCCGCCAGTGGGAGGGT
Source organism: Homo sapiens (assembly GCF_000001405.40). NCBI lineage: Eukaryota > Metazoa > Chordata > Mammalia > Primates > Hominidae > Homo > Homo sapiens. The sequence continues at coordinate 79,481,182 of NC_000013.11, read as the reverse complement.
ATAGCTGGGTGGGAGGAGATGGAAAAGTAAGGCAAGTCCGGGGGAGCTGTCTAGGTTGTCAACCTGTCGAGTGGGCGGTCGCAAAAGGCGCGCGGGGGGCGGGAATGACCCGTCCTTGATTGGTCTTTTCTGTGTGCGCGAGTTTCGCGCAGGCACGAGCCAGTGCGCCTTCTCACCACACAGAGACAGAGGCTGACAAGGGATGGGGCCGCGTTCCTAGAACACCTGAGGACAGGTCGCCCGGGTACCCGACACTTCCTCACCCAGCGTAGGACATGGGGAGGAGATTCATCTCTAGAACATTCCCAAAACGCTTATTCAAAATCATTCGTAAGATAAGCGATTTTTTAAAGACTAATATAGAGTAGTTAGAGTTTACAGAAAAATTGAGAAGTTACAGAGATATCCCATATACACTTGGCTCCTACGCATGCATAACCCCCCACCATTATCAACATCCCCCCTCAGAGTGGTACATGTGTTACGACTGATGAACCTGCATTGACACCTCATCATCACTCAAAGTCCATAGTTACCTCAGGGTTCACTCAGGTTGTTGTATACTCCTCGAGTTAGAACAAATGTGTAATGGCAGGTATCCATCATTATAGTATCCTACAGAGTATTTCCACTGCCCTGAAATTCTTCTGTGGGGTAATTTTTGTTTTTGTTTGTTGTTTTTTTAGAGATGGGGTCTCACTATATTGCCCAGACTGGAGTGCAGTGGCTGTTAGCAGGCGCAGTCATGGCTCACTGTAGCCTCGAACTCCTCGGCCCAAGCTATCCACCTGCCTCAGCCTCTGGAGTAGCTGAGACTACAGGCACTAGCTCTTTGGTTACTTTTTAAACTCTTTTTTCCACTTTTTGGTAATAAGAGATTTAAAAATCCAACGGACTCTCCAGACAACTCTCAAAGAAAGAGGTCTCTAGAGTTCTAGGTTACTGGAAGGACGTTAGAAGAAAGTAATGAAATCAGATAGGATTATTTTGTGGTAATACTCAATAATTCCAATTGATTTAACAGCAAGGAATCACTTGGGAGCACTGTTAGTAGTATCTCACTGTCTGGTTAACCACACATGACACGGCATAAAGCATATTTCTCTAGCAAGTAGAAGAGTATGACAGAGCAGCGAAAAGTACCTTTTAACCTGAAGACCAACGTTCTATACCCTAAAAACTATGATGCTGCTTGATGTGGCCCAGCTATGTTTTTAACATAACACCACATTTTCCCTAAATGATCTTACAGTGGAGCGCCCTGAAGGGAAGGAAAGGGATCTGGAGCCCCATTTATTTCCTTCATGAATGTCCAGAGGAGATCCTTGAAATGAAGACTGCCACTGGGTGAGCCTAATCAACTGGTTAAAATAGCAAGATAGAATAAAAACAGAAACTCTTTGAGAGATTGACAACTAAAAAATGTAAGCCTTCCTCATAGTTCTTTTTAAAGCATTCATCAACTCTTCCTATTTGTGCCGTTTTGACATGTCTAATAGCATAAAGCATTACTGTGCTAACAATAAGAGGCAGTGATATCTCATACTTAAATATTGTTAAACTTGCCTTGTTTTGATCTTAATGTATTTTAGTTTCTAAGCCAATAAACATATGCCATTTTATTGGTATTACTGGTACAAACGCTCACTCTCACAATTTCACTCCAAATGGTATTGCCTCTCGATGACCAAAACAACAGCCAGTATCAGCAAACTGAAATTAGATCCTTATATCACTTACGATCTATAAGATTTATTTAGAACTTAATTTTATATGCATATGTGTTTTCATTAATCATTCATGTGTTCATCTGTTTCTCAAATAGATGGCTGCTCAGGGCAGAGACCATTTCTTACACCCAATGCAGCACTGAGAACATAAAAGTAAAAATCAAAGATCTGACCAAAAGCAGACATCTTGAATCCTGATAGAGTAACAGATTCTTTCTATTTTACCCTCCTCCCAGATTCTCTGAACATTTTGCTAATCTAGTGGAGTAACAAATTCAGCAGGAAAGCGTATTTGTAATGAGGAAGAGAAAGAGGGGAAGGAGAAGTAGAACAACAGCTTACTAGTATAGAGCCCTTTCTAAGCCAGTACTATACATCTATTATTTTAGCCTCACCAGAACTTCATGATATAGGCACAGTTGCACTCCTTGGTTAACAGATGAGGGGGGAAAATAAGGCACAAGGAGTTTCATGAACTTGGCTAATGCCAAATCACTAGTAGGTGATGACAGACATCAGAGCCTCCACCATATTAAGCACTATATTAAGCATAATGCACCTAATAAAGAAGAGTCCTTGTCTCTTTCCTCTTCCTAGCCACCACTACTGTGAAACGTGCAGAAGACATAAAAAGATAGCAATGTATCACAAAGAGCCAATCTGACTTCTTTAAATCCCACCTTCTTGATCTATGTAAAATAATAATTCTTATTCATCATCCCCAAAAGAGCCATTCTGAGCTTCTTTTGCCCACTTTACAACTAAGCCCATGTGACCTGTAATGGACCATTACAAGCAGAGGCACTGAGTTGTCCCACTAGGAGAAACTTACTTGAGATGCAGTGGGAATAACAATATTCTTTACCATTTTACAGACCTTAAGCAACATCCAATAATATTTTCAATCCCTGGTATTATGGCGACAACTCTAGTTATCTAAGGAATTTGCAGTGGTGCAGCACTAGAAGCTACCTCAAGTAGAATTGTAGAATTTTAGTGCACTTCACTAACACCTCTCATTCTGGCTTGATCAATTTTCATCTCCAAACACACAGCCACCCAAAATTTTACTAGTGCTGCTCTGCAGTACTGGAGTAGACATGGAGATAAGCTGCCCAGATTCCCTTTCAAGAAAGCACACTCTGCCCAGCTGGAAGGAATGTGGCTGTCAGACAACTTCCAATTGGTAGCTTTGTCAGGGTCTCCCTCAGCTTTCAACCTGAGGAGGTGCTATTTTCAGGGTGGCACCCAGCCACTAACTGAGCAAGGCAGTGGTACAAGGCTCTGGCTATTTTTGCCAGACACTGAAGCCCTTAAAGGGACAAACTTTCAGAGTTCCCTGTGAAGCTGGCAGAGACTTTTTCAGCTCTGCAGCATGTTGCGACAGCTCCCCCTGCCCAGTCCTTTTTATTTTAACAGACATTGCTCCGCAGTGAATCTCTTGCACTGAAAACTTTATATC